>NC_000007.14:112809809-113112839 GCF_000001405.40 Homo sapiens
GATTTGAAGACAGAGGAAGTGTACTATGAGCCAAGAAATGGAGGCAGCCTCTATTAGAAAAGACAAGGAAGTAGATTCTCCCCTAGAGCATCTAGAAAAGAATGCAGCTTTGTTGATGCCTTGATTTTAGCTCATGGAGACCCACTTTGGACTTCTGACCTACAGAACTGTAAGATAATAGATTTGTGTTGTGTTAAGCCGGGAAAGTTTGTTAGAGTGGCAATAGAAAATTAACATAGCCTATGGTTTCATCTGTGTGCTCTCCAAGTTTAGAAACAAAACTGTAGCTGAAAAGTTTTCTTTTTCAATGCTTTAAAACAGACTTCAAAAAAATCATTTAAGTTTGATAAAATTAAGCTGTTAAACCTGGCTCTTGTGCCTTTTTAAAGGAGAAAATATTTGATTCTTCAATTTCTTTTGTGACATCTTTTCCTAAACATGTGTTATAATTCTCAAGTATATATTTTGTCTTCCCCACTAGACTGGAAGCTTCTTGAAGGCATAATGTGTCTGATTAATCTTGCTATCTAACTTAGTACCTAAAATAATCCCTTACAGTAATGCAAACATTTATATAGATATCTTATTCAACTTTGCATCCTCATAGCACTATATACAGTGTCTAATGTTTATGAAACTAATTTCAAAAATGTATGGTAATTTAGACAGCTTAATTGATTAGGTAATTCAGATAATATGCTGAGTGAACATGAGCTTTGAAGTCAGGCCTGAGTTAAATCCTGGATGAACCACTTTCCTAACTCTGTAAATTTAGACAGTTGATTAACATCTCAAAGATTCACTTTCCTCACTAGTAAAATGGTAAGTAAAATCCTCACTTATTTTATAGTGAGGAAATGTTTGTAGAGTGCTTAGCACAATACTGGATAGGCAATCGTCGCTTTATGTTAGTAAGTTATGAAGATAAAAAATGTTATTTAGAATCAAATGGTATTTTATAAAAATGTTACTTTTTCTGTTGCTCCTGTTGTAATTTTTTAGGCTGTTGTCATGTCAAAAGGGGATACTAAGTTTCCAATCTGTTCTTGAGTATACAGTAATGCGGTCAATAACTTTAGTTGGTGCCTCCAACAAGTATTATCCGTGGATGAGGTTACATCTGGGTACTTTGGAATATGATAGAAGCAACATCTGGTGTGCTTTTATACAGCTCATGAAGTCAGTGCTTTAGAAACTGAATTAAAATGTTTCAAGGGTTTTCTTCCTATTTAATGCTGTGATGTTGCTAATCCCGTCCTCCTCTTAAAGCTGGTGATCCTCCTCACATTAACGGCCATTGATATAGTTTGGATAATTGTCCTCACTCAAATCTCATGTTGAAATGTAATCCTCAGTGTTAGAGGTGGGGCCTTGTGGGAGGTGTTTGGGTTATGGGAGTGGATTCCTCATGGCTTGGTGCCTTCCTCTGGGTAGCGAGTTCATTTTCACGAGATCTGGTTGTTCAAAGTGCATGGCACCTCCCCTACTCTCCCTTGCTCCTGCCTTCAGCATGTGAAGTGCCTGCTCCTGCTTTGCCTTCTGCCACAAGTAAAAGCTTCCTGAGGCCTCTCCAGAAGCAGATGCCAGCACTATGCTTCCTGTACAGCCTGCAGAAGCATGAGCCAATTAAACCTCTTTTCTTATAAATTACCCAGTCTTGAGTATAGCAATGCAAGAGTGGCCTAACACAGCCATCCTTGATATTTATGGAACCCTCTCAGGCTTAATAGTTGACTCAAGCACAATGAATAAGTGGTCCCCTGTCTTTGTGAATTCATAGATAAAAAGACAAGACAATCTTGTGTTGTGACTTGTTTTGTAGTTTCCATTGAAATCTTGTAGGGTAGGTTGTAGTGAAGTGTGTATCTTACATCATTTTCTGGGAATTCATAGGGAAGAAAAATTGAAGATAAGAAAATTTAACACTGATTTTCTTGCTCAATATGGTTCTAAGGAGTTGATATCAGATTTTGAATTGGGTGGTGATGGTGGAGATGAAACAGTGAATGTGTGCAGACCAGGCAAGACTGAATGAAGAGAAGGAATGGGGCTATAAAAGACACTTTGCCAAAATAAATAATAGTCACTATATGTCATATCCCTACTATGTGACAAGATTGTTATCTGCTTTATAGACATCATTTTCAAACCTATCGATAACCTTGCAAAGTGAATTTTTTGGATAAACAGGCCCTGAGGAGAACTTTGCCCCAGTAAGTTTTCATAGGGTTGGTGATGCAAATCTTTCTGGATACAAAAGCCAGTGGAAAGTAGTACAAATCACGTATCCCTTATACGAATAAAGAAACTGCTGGAGTACCACTTCTCTCCTGGGGTTGAAGAGATCATTTAGGTAAATACTCCTTTTAAAGATGTAAAAGCTAATGATGGTTTACAAACTTAAATTCTTACACTAGCAAGGAGTGGGAGCTGGCCATTGGAGAGAGAGTACTGACGGACGTGGTAAGAAAGTAGGATTTCAGGTTTAGATATAATTCATTTTAATGAATGTGTGGGAATACACAGAAGAGAAATTATATGGCTCCAGGTTACTTAGTATTGATCTAAGCTTCAGTTTATACAAACCAATTTAGACTTTCCTGAAGTATAAATTGAGTTATATCTTAATTATGAGAACATATTAATAAACTAATTAATATAAACAGGACTAGACTACCCCAAAAGATTCATAAACTAAGCAGCAGCAGTGGCCCTGTATCATCACAGTTGCATTTTGGAAGGTAAAATTAACCATTTGGAAATATGTATTCCATCACCTTCTTTATGCAAGGTACTTATTTAGGCTGAAGACACAGGACAGAAAAGGGCTTTGCCCATATATACAGATGAACATGGACAAAGATAAACTTCAGATAATTAGAGCTATGCAGAGACTTTATGGTATTGTGAAGAGACAATTTTCGATTATGTGTAATAGGAAGGTGTCCCAGAGGATGTGGCATTTAAGCAGAGATTTGAATAACAAAAACAAACTAGCCATGGAAATAAAATGTAGGAGGAAGAAATTCTAGGCAGAGGGAGTAGCTAGTGCAAAGGTGGTCACATGATGTGTGTGGGTGTGTGTGTTTCCCCCTAGGACTCTAACACAGAAGGTGAAGGAGAGAATGGTGGGAAGTTGCATTGGAGAGGTACGGAGGGGCTGCATCATTTACATTTGGCCCCTTTATGATAAGGGGTATCCATATTAAAGTAAATTGCCTCTAGATGGGTTAAGAACAGTGTGTCATAAAAGTCAAGTGAACAGGTTTCATTTATATGTACCACCAGATGCTGCAGTGCAAGAATGTTTTCTGTAATGTTTGTTTTTATTTTTTGCCTTGTATTAATGCTAGTGTATTTAAGTTTCCACTGTCAGCCCCTGAAGAGCAGAGCAGACATCTGCTCCTTCTAGTACCTAATCCAGTGCCATAGCACAGAAATTCTCAACTAGTGAATCAATATTGATTGGTGTAGACTAGTTAACTATGTTATTGCCACAAATGACATCTAACCTGAGCTAGTTATCCCACAAATAGTCCTCACAGTTATGAAAAGGGAACCACAGTGTGTGATGTTCCCCTTCCTGTGTCCATGTGTCCATGTGTTCTCATTGTTCAATTCCCACCTATGAGTGAGAATATGTGGTGTTTGGTTTTTTGTCCTTTCAATAGTTTGCTGAGAATGATGGTTTCCAGCTTCATCCATGTCCCTACAAAGGACATGAACTCATCATTTTTTATGGCTGCATAGCATTCCATGGTGTATATGTGCCACATTTTCTTAATCCAGTCTATCATTGTTGGACATTTGGGTTGGTTCCAAGTCTTTGCTATTGTGAATAGTGCCGCAATAAACATACGTGTGCATGTGTCTTTATAGCAGCATGTTTTATAATCCTTTGGGTATATACCCAGTAATGGGATGGCTGGGTCAAATGGTATTTCTAGTTCTAGATCCCTGAGGAATCGCCACACTGTCTTCCACAATGGTTGAACTAGTTTACAGTCCCACCAACGGTGTAAAATTGTTCCTATTTCTCCACATCCTCTCCAGCACCTGTTGTTTCCTGACTTTTTAATGATCACCATTCTAACTGGTATGAGATGGTATCTCATTGTGGTTTTGATTTGCATTTCTCTGATGGCCAGTGATGATGAGCATTTTCTCATGTGTCTTTTGGCTGCATAAATGTCTTCTTTTGAGAAGTGTCTGTTCATATCCTTCGCCCACTTTTTGATGGGGTTGTTTTTTTCTTGTAAATTTGTTTGAGTTCTTTGTAGATTCTGGATATTATCCCTTTGTCAGATGAGTATATTGCAAAAATTTTCTCCCATTCTGTAGGTAGTCTGTTCACTCTGATGGTAGTTTCTTTTGCTGTGCAGAAGCTCTTTAGTTTAATTAGATCCCATTTGTCAATTTTGGCTTTTGTTGCCATTGCTTTTGGTATTTTAGACATGAAGTCCTTGCCTATGTCCTAAATGGTATTGCCTAGGTTTTCTTCTAGAGTTTTTATGGTTTTAGGTCTAACATTTAAATCTTTAATCCATCTTGAATTAATTTTTGTATAAGGTGTAAGGAAGGGATCCAGTTTCAGCTTTCCACATATGGCTAGCCAGTTTTCCCAGCACCATTTATTAAATAGGGAATCCTTTCCCCATTTCTTGTCTTTGTCAGGTTTGTCAAAGATCAGATAGTTGTAGATATGTGGCATTATTTCTGAGGGCTCTGTTCTGTTCCATTAGTCTATATCTCTGTTTTTGTACCAGTACCATGCTGTTTTGGTTACTGTAGCCTTGTAGTATAGTTTGAAGTCAGGTAGCATGATGCCTCCAGCCTTGTTCTTTTGGCTTAGGATTGACTTGGCAATGTGGGCTCTTTTTTGGTTCCATATGAACTTTAAAGTAGCTTTTTCCAATTCTGTGAAGAAAGTCATTGGTAGCTTGACGGGGATGGCATCAAATCTATAAATTACCTTGGGCAGTATGGCCATTTTCACAATATTGATTCTTCCTACCCATGAGCATGGAATGTTCTTCCATTTGTTTGTATCTTTTATTTCATTGAGCAGTGGTTTGTAGCTCTCCTTGAAGAGGTCCTTCACATCCCTTGTAAGTTGGATTCCTAGGTATTTTATTCTCTTTGAAGCAATTGTGAATGGGAGTTCACTCATGATTTGGCTGTTTGTCTGTTATTGGTGTATAAGAATGCTTGTGATTTTGCACATTGATTTTGTATCCTGAGACTTTGCTGAAGTTGTTTATCAGCTTAAGGAGATTTTGGGCTGAGACAATGGGGTTTTCTAGATATACAATCATGTCATCTGCAAACAGGGACAATTTGACTTCCTCTTTTCCTAAGTGAATACCCTTTCTTTCTCCTGCCTGATTGCCCCGGTCAGAACTTCCAACACTATGTTGAATAGGAGTGGTGAGAGAGGGTATCCGTGTCTTGTGCCAGTTTTCAAAGGGAATGCTTCCAGTTTTTGCCCATTCAGTATGATATTGGCTGTGGGTTTGTCATAAATAGCTCTTATTATTTTGAGATACATCCCATCAGAAGGGATAGCATTAGTAGATATACCTAATGTTAAATGACGAGTTAATGCATGCAGCACACCAACATGGCACATGTATATATATGTAACAAACCTGCACGTTGTGCACATGTACCCTAAAACTTAAGGTATAATAATAATAATAATAAAAAGAAAATAATAAATAAAAAGGGAACCACAAGGCCTACTAGATCAGTGAAAATTCATTTACTCAAGACAACTCCAAGTACATAATGTCTTAGGTAATACTCTATATAAAGTGGTTTGTCACAAGAGCTGTGCTTGCTTTCTTTTGAATTTTATGCTTCACATTCTGTGGGAAAATGTATTACACAGTATCTCACAGAAGTATTACTATTAACCTATATTTACTTATAATACTATCTTCTATAGCGTGATGTTAAAATTTGATAAATTTTAGGGAGGAAAATGTTTGTCTTTCTTTTTTTCTCAGACAAGCTCTTAGTCTGTTGCCCAGGCTGGAGTCCGTTGGTCTAATCTTGGCTCACTGCAACCTCCGCCTCCCAGGCTCAGATGATCTTTGTGCCTCAGCCTCCCGAGTAGCGAGGACTACAAGTGCATGCCACTGCGCCTGGCTGATTTTTAAAATTTTTGTGTACAGATGATGTCTCACTATATTGCCAGGCTGGTCTTGAGCTCCTGGGCTCAAGCGATCCGCCTACCTTGGCATCTCAAAGTGCTGGGATTACAGGTGTGAGCTACCACACCCAGCCTGTTCATTTTATTATAAATAATTTGTTGGAACTTTCTCAGTTATAGAATTGATGTTAGCAGTTCATTTAACCGTAAGACTAAAGGGATGGTTTGTGACATCCTGACTCCCATTCTGTATCTCTTCATTCCAACTGGCACCATTCCCTAGGCCCACAGGGTCTTCCCCACTGCCCTCCCCTCCCCCCACCTGCCCTCACCTTTTCTGGTCACAAGCTCCAGACCATTCCACTTTCCTATCAAAATATGTCTTCTTACTTCCAAATTCCCAAGTCCCTGTTCTACTTCCAACACACTGTACTCCAGTACTTTAATCCGTGGTAATGATTCAGTGGAGCCAGAGAATATAAAGCTCATTATACAGTTAGTTAAGCTGTTAGGCCCTCTTTCTGTCTTAAGCATCTTTCTTCTTGCAGACAGTCTCAAAGATTTTTCCTTCTTCCAGTAATCACCCATTTATTTCCAAGGAATGTTTCATCCATGCCTAGCTTTAGGAAACATGTTATTGCTTGGATTTCTATTGAAAATATGTGTGGCAATTTGGAAACCATTTTTTCCTGACTTCATTATTCTTTCATGTTTTAGCCTGTCAATGCAAACTCTATTATCCAGAGATGCATTATAGAACAGGAGTTTAAGGGAGAAGGAAATTAATATTGGCCATGGTCATGTTCGTATTCTTTTTCCTTGTAGAAGACAACAGGCATAGCTAGAGTGGCATTAGCTAACTGTAAAAAGGATTTGTAGGGCTAGGGATGAATGTAAATGTAAACAACTTAAATGTGGATTCTATTATAGCTTCACATAGAGTATCTGTGACCACAAATCATATTCTTCTCAGTAGCTGATTTCCCACACCAGTTCAAAGGGCTACAGAAGAAATACTGTCATCAGGACACTACGAATAGTTTACTTGGATATATGCAATAAAAGGATGCAAGTATATTTTCTCGCATTTTCTTCCTAAAGAGTTGCAAACAGGGCTGGATCTAGAAAATACTGTTTCCTTTTTTTGGGGTAATGCTCCCTGCCATTTTTATGGTTTACATGGGCATTCCAATCCATCAATAGATTTGTTTTACAGCTTTCAAATTATTAATGACAAATTCAAGAAACAATTCTGCAGTCAATGCCTATGGTCTAATTTTTTGTAGTTTTCCTTTAACTTAAAAACCATAGAAAGAAGTACCATCTTTGATACTACTGATGGGCCCAAACTTAAAAATTTATGATGCAAAATAGTTTTAGCTATCATTTATGATTACTAAAAACAACCATTGACAATAAATATTTTATACTATCACAAAAAGCAGACTAGCTTTCTCATAACTTAGCAAAGGTGTTATGGTTGAAAATAAAATTCAAAATAAGTTGAACTGCTTAACTCATAATTACTAAAAGTTCATACTCTATAGTGCCATATGTAACAAGATTCTCATTTAAAAAAATAGATGCATACTAATTTAGAAACTACTGAGATGGTTATTTTCCTTTTTTGAGACCTAGCTGTCACCCAGGCTGGAGTGCAGTGGTGTGATCTCAGCTCACTGCAACCTCCGCCTTCCAGGTTCGTGCGATTCTTGTGCCTCAGCTTCCTGAGTAGCTGGGATTACAGTCACATGCTGCCATGCCTGGCTACGTTTTGTATTTTTAGTAGACATGGAGTTTCATCATGTTGGCTAAGCTGATCTCGAACTCTTGACCTCAAGCAATCCACCCACCTCGGCCTCCCAAACTGTTGGGATTACAGGCATGAGCCACCCAGAAAACTACTGAGATTCTGAAACAAATTTAGAAAAAAGCATACAAACCAAAGTTTAAGGTACATTTAAAAGGCTTTCCAATTGTTGAGATTTCCATTTCTCTGCCAAGAGAAAAACAGGGTTTAGAAAAACCAGCGTATCTCCTTTTACGCATTTAGAGATCTTTAAATTGTTAGCTATTGTAGCCTGCTTGTTCACTGGGTTTTGTAGTGTGTATATATATAGGCCACCACTAATATACTTCGGGAGCTTTGCATTCACAGTAGCTCATGGATATGACTTTAACATGAATTATCATACTATCATGGTTATGGCAATTCAGTTTTTTTTAAGAATAAAGTTATTATAATACAAACATTCCTTGTAGTAAATGTTTGTATTATGGGTTTTTTTTTTTTTTTTGTAACAAAGAATTTGTTTTCTACCTTTGTTATCATTTAACAAGCAATTTACAAAACCAAGAAGGAACCAAATCTTTGATTTACATTTCTGCTGACCTAGTGTGTGGACTCTTGCAGAGGAATAGCATTGCTGCATAGTGCTCAGAAAGTGTGGGAAAACGGAACAAAAAGCTTGAATCCATTTTTTTTTCTGCTTTTACATCAGAATTTATATTTAGGTTATACTTTCCTAGAGGAATGAACAATACATCTCTCTTATCCACAATGTGTAATTTGCTAGTTTTGTGTTTAAAGCTTTTCTTATTTCCTGTTCTACTTCTGTGAATTAAGGATTTTAAGCAGGGGCAAAACTGTAGCATCAGCAGGTAATCATTCTTGGATACAGATACTAAGTACATGTAGCATGCTTGTCTTCACTCTTAGGTCATAAGCTCCATGAGAGCAGGGGACAATGATCACTCCAATCCTTGCTGCTTTCCCAGCATATAGCACATGGCAGAATTCAAACATTTGTTTAATAAACAACAACAACAAAAAACCTTTCATATCATGAGGAAGACATCTGCTGTCCTGAAAGAGCTGATAAATTATGTAGCTTACTTAAAAAAAAAAAAAGAATATGATATGGTTGACATACAATAAAGTAGAATTTATGCTGTTGCCCTGCTTCTGCCATAAACATGACAAAACATGACAATGGGAAGTCACCTGAGTTCTCTGGATCTCAGTGAATAAATTTATGACATTAAGGGATTTAACAAAAATGAAACCCAGTGGGAAAATTGTACAAGTCACTCAAGTTCTAAATTGCTTCCCAATGCTGAAATCACTTAGTGAGATACATCAAAGACCACAGAACTTTCGGTTTACAAGTAACAGACAAAGAATACTAGAAAATTTAAAATTTTTAATAAATGTGCTTTGTTCACAAAATGTGAAAAAATACAACAAACACACACGTACATTTTCAGGTATGCTACCTCCCACCACTTGGCAACTATGGTAAAACCACATGATCTAGTCATGATACTGAAGAATCCAACCAAATGATTACCATTTGTTTTTGAAACAACCAAATTATTTTGGAGAACCAGCTGTGAATGTGACAGGAGGCCTCATAACTTCTTTATATCCAAAATGAAATAATTCTTAGGAGTACCCATACAGTATTAGAAGGCCCTATTAACTTCCACTTGTTATTACATACATGATCTGGCATCAAGCTGCAATGACTGCTTATACTTCAATACTTATACACTGAATTGGTTTTTGTGGAATGTGTATCAGTTTAAATCTGTGCCAACCTAATTGGAATAAGCTGAATTTACAGTAACAAATGATATAAATTCAAACAAATTTATACTAAGTGGTAGTAGGTTTTATAAAGAGACTTCCTCAGAGTACTACGTAAAATACATCATGCACACTTTGGAGCATAAGCAGAATCAACATCTGTAAACAATCAGAATTTATAGCACCAACATTTTCGCTGTAACACAAAGGCTGACTCCAGGGTCATACTATACCAGCCTTTCAAAAGCGCTGTTTTCATTTACTTTCAAAGCATTTTCATTTGGTGTATTGTTTTCTTTGCTCTTAAGATATTTACCCAAATCAAAAAGCAAACAGTATGGTAAAAGGTACTACCAAAATAGTTCAAAAGAGTTCTGTATTATCCTTAACATAGTGCTTTTTTTTCCTTCCCCTTCTCTTGGGGAAGCTACAAGACATAATCCTTCAGTGCTTAACTGGAAAGAACAGTCAATCCTAAATATTAAAGAATCTTATGCTGTTGAAAGTAAATGAAAAATTTCGAGTTATTTGTGGCATATTTGAGCAACCAATATTTATTGCATTTAATCAACTGACTTTAAAAAATTACAATCTTGTTACTTTCATTAATTTAGCATGTGAAATTTAATTAGAAATACTGGGTACATACACTCAACCATTTATATCATAAAGGATAAGTTTTATATTTCTAAATAAAGTTTGACATTCAAAGGTACTACGGCAATTCACAATAAGCACAAAAACATCAGCTTTACCAGAGTAAAGAAGTGCAGTTTATGAAATTTAGGATCAACTATTGAAAATGCAAGTTTCCTTTAAAAACATACAAACATACGCACAACATTAACCATGAAATCTGAAACTGTGATATTTCAGTGCAAAAACCTCAGTATGAGGTAATTTTAATGTAATAACCACTTGAAAAAAAAATCCACACAGTGGCACTCTTAAAAATGATAGCTTCCATGACAATTGCTGGCTGACAAGACAATGTGGACTAAATGTTCTTAACTGTTTAAACTAATCTTGTCTTGTTTGGACATATATTTTTCCCTAATCATTTGCTTCTGATTCAGAAACACAGAAAGGCATTTATTAATGTGGAAAGGGAAAATTCCCACAGCCAACTAATTGATATATTCAAAGAAAATTTTCTGATAAAGTTTAGATAGAAATTAAGATACCAAAAGGTCAAAACCATTTTATGAGATCACCAACAGAGGGTTAATTTTAGGTTTTTCCATATAATTTGAAACTTGTAGTGCGGCACCTCCTTAACGGAAAGGTGAGGACCCTATCAAAGTTGGTTTCAACAGAACATAAACTCTCTTCCAAGTGCAAACCCTTTCAAAAAGGTGTTTTAGGTCATTATTGAGTATTACATTGTTCCTTGCTTAAATAAAACATTTTGTAAATGAAGCCTAAGTTTAAGAAAAGTAAAAGTGAACTCTCAGGTAAATATACTTCACACCAAGGCCCAAATCAACAAGAAAGTTATGAAAATACTACTTTGGCAATGGTGTTTATTGGATAGGGCTAATAAAATTAGAATACACACTTTGGGGGACATCTCTCCCCCAATGTCTGATGCTGTCAAATGAGCTTTTAATATAAGGAAGAAATAAAAAGAATTATCACCAATTACAAAAAGTTCAGTAAATATTGGATCATCAGACAAAAAAGGAACATAAAATGACTTTCTGTAACATCACAATTTTAGTTAGAAAAAAGAAAAAGATAAGTGCATCACAAAACAACTAACCGATCTATTTTTCTGTATCACATTTAACTTGTGAGTCATCAAAGTGCAATCTACAGCTTTCTACATCTTAAAGTTTTCCATTCAATGGTTTATAGTCAACACTGAAAAGTTGAAAAGGAAAACATATAGCAAATTATGCTTGTTTTCACAATAGCACTAAAGAGAAAAAGGTACCTTTCTATGATAGTGCTAAATGCTAAAGTAACAGTAGTTTCTGCTATGACATGAGTCACTCTGCATGAAACTTTAAGCTTTCTATATAAGAATAAATTTTAAAATTGAGAAGTAGAAAAAAATAGCAAACTCTGTAAACCTCTGCATTTCTTTTATGCAAACCAGGTTTTCAGTACTGAGTTCATGTTAGTATTTCCAATTGGTGTAAGCAATTAGTTTAGGAGCCTGGACTGAAAGGGGCTTTTTGCTTCTATATTAACTTAAAAGTAATATGGGGTCTTCTAGCTCATAGAAAGGAATAGAGCTGGCTTGACTTTCTCCAGAATCTGAGTCATATGGCGCATCAGGGAGTTCTGTGAAACCATATGCTAGTTGTTCATCTTCTATATCTGATCGAACATAGCAGGAAGGGTTAGAATATTCCTCATCTTCTATACTGTTGAAATCTTGAGGAATATATAACATTCCTGGGTAGTTCCTACTAACCAAGTCACTTGTGGTTTTTAGAGAGATTTTCCTAAATGCCATCAGATGCATATGTGAAAATTTTGAGTACTTGAAGCGTTTAAAGCCCAGGGACTCTATAGCAATCTTCCAGCTTTTCATCATCATAGCATGACGGTTCTGATGGGAGGAATCAGGTGTGATGATTAGTAATAAACCATTTAACACTAACAGTTCATGGGCTTTCTTGCAGCAAATCCATCGCTGGTAAGGAGATGGAAAATAAGAAAGAAGGAGAGAGAAAACAACCACATGGAAAAGCTCTCCAGGAAGAGAATCAATAGGGTTTTTCAGCTGCTTCAAAAAAGCATCTATAGCATCCTGTGCAAGCTGGAGTGGTTGCTGAAGCTGTAAGTTCAGGAAATCACATTTATAGACACTCTGCAGAAACAGAAAACAAGGCATATTAAGAACTTCAAGATTATTTCCACTTTAGTACATAGACTTTTCAGCAAACCATTTCACATATCATAGTAATTCCAGCATTGATTATACATTTTTCCTTTTAAATTATTAAACTTGAACAGATGTATTCAACCACAACTTTTACAAAAATCTCAAAGTAATTAAGTCCAAAGACCTGCTAATCATCATTTAAATATATGTTTTTTGCCTAACAATTTAAAATGGGAAATAATTTGTGTATTTTGGGTTGGGACTTACATGAATTTTAATTTGGGTAGGAGTTTACAGGAATGACATTTCTATTTACATTCACTTTAACATTTACAGTTACCAAAAACAAACTAATATAAAAATGCTAAACAAGAAATACCATGAAATAAAGATGAATCAAATAAAGAGGATAATGAAAGAGGCATTATAAAATTTGTACAAGCAGAATGATTCCAAAACTTTAGTTCTTTGAAACTGTTAACTTTAACCATTTAAAAAGTAACCCTCAACATTACTTTTATTCTATTAAAAAGTTAATCCCTAGTTTGGAACAAACTAGATTTAGTTAGACAAATGACCATGGGAAACAATACAACAGAGGAATGAATAACATTATATAATTTGCTAAATCTTAAAACTATGGAAATGAATCAGAATAAGCAATTTTAAAATTAGACAAAAATAACTCTATCATATACCAATAGTTATTAACAAAGATATGACCTAATACCTTAATCCCTCACTCATGTTAGTGTATATACAAGCCGGCCACATAGTCATCTGGACTGTTTATTAGGAAAAGTGATATGCAATGTTCTAGTACCTGAAAAAAAGATGCTTTTCTTCTTCCCTTTTTCTTAAAGGCAGCTTTATTGATGTATAAGTGACAAAAAGCATAAGTCTGATAAGTTGTGAGGTATTTTTACACTCATGAAACCACTGGCATGGTCGAATTAATGAACAGATCCAACACCCCATAATTTTCCTTATTCCCCTTTATAGTCCCTTCCTTCTCTTCCCCTGCCAGCAGGCAACCATTGAAGTTTGTATTTCCTAGAATTTTATATAAATAATCATTTTGAGATTTTTCTTGCAGGTATTAATAGTTTATTCCTTTTTAAATTGCAGAATGGTATCCCATTGTATCAAGGATGTACCACAGTTGGTTTATCCATATACACCTGTTTATGGATATCTGGGTTGTTTCTAGTTTTGGTTATTACATTTCAAGCTGCTGTGAGTATTCCCATACATGTGTTTGAATCAACATTCTTTAATTTGTCTTGGGGAAATATCTTGGGTGGCTAGATCATACAGTAGGTGGTGTAGTAGGTTTAATTTTTAAATAACTCCCAACTGATTTCAAAAGTGGTTATGTAGTTTCATGTTCCCACCAGGAGTATGTGAGAGTTCCAGTTCCTCCAAATCCTTATCAACTCTTGGTATAGCTAGTCTATTTCATTTTAGTAATTGTAATAGATGTGTAGTGGTATTTCAGTTTTAATCTGCATTTTCCTAATGAGTTAGTGACATTTATCATCTTTTCCCGGACTTATTTGCCATCCAGATATCTTCTATGTTAAAGTGTCTGTTCAAATATTTTGCCCATTTAAAAATAATTGGGTTGCTTTAAATAAAGTTTTAAGTATTTTCTTTCTGGGTTTTGAGAGTTCTTTATTCTTGATGCAAGTCCTTTATGATATATGACTTGAAAATATTTTCTCAGTATCATGTGGCTTATCTTTTCATTCTTTTAACAGTGTCCTTTGAAGAGCTGAAGTTTTAAATTTTGATGAAGACTAATTTATCAATTTGTTCTTTCTTAGATGTTGCTTTCAAAGTCAGGTCTAAAAAGTCTTTTCCTATCCCAAGGTCATAAAGACTTTTTTTCAAAATGTTTTCCTTTAGTAGTTTTATAGTTTATGGCTTTTTCATTTAGGTCTATGATACATTTTGAGTTTTTTTTGTTTGTTTGTTTTTTTGTTTTTTTGAGATGGAGTCTCACTCTGTTGCCCAGACTGGAGTGCAGTAGCGTGATCTTGGCTCACCGCAACCTCCGCCTCCTGGGTTCAAGTGATTCTCCTGCCTCAGACTCTCCTGAGTAGCTGGGACTACAGGCACGCACCACCATGCCTGGCTAATTTTTGTATTTTTTGTAGAGACAGGGTTTCACCATATTGGCCAGGCTGGTCTCGAACTGCTGATCTTGTGATCCGCCCACCTTGGCCTCCCAAAGTGCTGGGATTACAGGCATGATCCACCACACCCAGCCAAGGTCTTTTTTTTTATATGGAGTGTGGTATGGTTTGAAGTTTCTTCTTTTGTATATGGATACCCCTTTGTTTCAACACCATTGTGGAAAAGACTATGCTTTCCATCTTGGGCAAAAATCACGTACGTAAGTTTGGGCTTATTTGTGAACCATCTATTATATTTCACTGATATTCCTGAACATCAATACCATGCTGTCTTGAATACTGTAGCTTTATAATTTTGAAATCAGGTAGTGTTACTCTCCAACACTGTCCTTCAAAGTTGTTTTGAGCTATTATTCTAGGTCCTTTGAATTTCCACACAGATTTTAGAGTAAGTTTTTCAATTTCTACAAAAAAGCCCACAAGAGTTTTGATGAGGACTGCACTGACTCTATACAGACAGGGTCTCACTCTGTCACCTAGGCTGGAGTACAGTGGTGTGATCTTAGCTCACTGCAACCTCCACCCTCTGGGCTCAAGCAATCTTCCCACCTCAGGCTCCTGAGTAGCTGGGACCACAGGCGAGTGCCACCACATCTGGCTAATTTTTCTATTTTTTTTTTTGTAGAGACAGGTTTTTGCCACATTGCCCAGGATGGTCTCGAACTTTTGGACTCCAACAATCCACTTGCCTAGGCCTCCCAAAATGCTGCGGTTACAGGTGTGAGCCACTGCACCCACCTTAGGTCATCTTTACTTTCTCCTAATTTGTGGTTTGCAGCATGTGGATTTTTCTACTTTTGTCAGATTTATGAGCTACATATTTCATATATACTCACATATAAAATAAACATTTCATATTTTTGATGCCAGAGTATGGTACTGTTTTTAGTTAAAATTTCTGATTGGTTGCTGCTAGTATATACACACAAATTTCTGTATATTGATCTTGTCTCTTGCAACCTTGCTAAACTCATTTGTTAGTTTTAGGAGCTTCTTTGAAGATTACACAGAAAAATCAAATAGATGATCGATGACACCTGTGAATACAGTTTTACTTCTTTCCAATGTGCATGCTGCTTATTGCTTTTTCTTGCTTTACTGAATTGTTAGAACCTCTAGTACAAATGCTAAATAGAAGCTGTAAGAGTAAACATCCTTATCTTGTTTTTGTGAGAAAAGCATTTTTCTTTCACCATTAAGGATGATGTTAGCTGGAGATTTTTCAGATACCCTTTATCAGGTTCAAGAAATTCCCTTAAATTCTGAGTTTTTTTTTTTTTTTTAAATCAGGAAAGTCCAGATGTTGAATTTTGTCAAAGCTTTGTCAAATGCCTTTTCTGTGCCTACTGAAATGATCAAATGACTTTTTCTTTTTGAGTTCATACGATAGATTGTTTTTGAATTTTAAACCAAGCTTGCATTCCTGAGATAAACCAAACTTGGCCATTATATATTATCCTTTTAAAATACCTTGTTGGATTCAATTTGCTGAAATTTTGTATAGAACATCTGTATCTATATTCATAAGGGATATGGATCTGTAGTTTTGTTTTATAACATTTGTCTGATTTTGATACCAGAGTAATGGCCTCATAGAATGAGTTGGGAAGTATTCCATCCATTTCAATTTTATGGAAGAGAATATATATAATTGGTATTATTTCTTCTGTAAATATTTGGTAAATTTTAACATGCAGGCGTTAGTGCCTGGAATTTTCTTTGTGGGAAGGTTTTAAACTGCCAATTCATAATTTCTTCAATAGATTTAGGGCCATTCATCTTATCTGTTTCTTCATGAATAAGCTTTGGTGGTTATGTCTTTCAAGGAATTGGTCCATTTGAATTGTCGAATTTATTGGCATAAAGTTGTTCAAAATATTTTCTTATACTTTTAATGTTGGTAAAATCTGTCATGATGTTACCTTTTTCTCTTTACTTCTGATCAGTAGGCTAGAGTTTATAAATTTTATTCATCTACTCAAAGAACTAGCTTTTGCTTTCATTAATTTTCCCTATTTTTCTGAAAGTTTTCTATTTCATTTGATTTCTGCTCTGATCATTATTTCCTTTTGGATTTACTGCTCTTCTTTTTTCTTCTAGTTGAAAAGTTGATGTCATTGCTTTGAGACTGTTACCTAATAAAGGTGTTTAGTGCTATAATTTTCCCCTAAGTACTACTTTTGTGACTTTAGTGACATCTATGCATTTTGATATCTTGTATTTTTATTTCAAAAAAGTTCTAATTTCCATTGTGAATTCTTCGCCAAGTGTTCAGTATACCTGTTCTAGGAATTATTTAGAGGGGTGCTGAAATCTCTATAATTTTATCAATGTTTATGTTTCCTTGACAGTTTATCAGTTTTTGGTTTACATATTTGGAAGCTTTGTTATTAGGTGCATAGACCAAGTTTGGTTTAGGATTGTTATGTACTCTTGATGAACTGACCCTTTAATCATTATGGAATGTCATTTTTATCCCTGATCATATTCTTTGCTCTGAAATATACTTTGTCTAATTTTAATGTAGCCATGCCAGCTTTCTTTTCTCCATCTTATTGCTTTCACTCTATTTGTGTCTTAATAATTGAAGTACATTTCTTATGGGCAACATATATTTGGGTCTTGGCTTTTTTCCCCCAATCTGCCAGTCTTTGCCTTTCAATTGGGGCATTTAGGCCATTTCTATTTAATGTGTTGATTGATGTGATTAGGTTTTAAATCTATAATCTTGCTATTTATTTTCTACTTGTCTCACTTGATTGTTGTTCCCTTCCCCTCTTCCTTCATCTTTTGAATTAACTAAATTTTTTATGATTTTATTAGCCTTGTTGGCTGATTAGGTATAACTCTTTTATTTCAGCAGTTGCTTTAACTTATCAGTCTACCTTCAAGTGATATTACACCACTTAATGTATAAGAACCTCAAAGTACTAATATTATCACAGTGGACTGGTTCCAGGAACCACTGTACATACCCAAATCCACGTTCAAGTCCTTTATATAAAATGGTATATTTGCATACACCCTATGCATATCCTCCCATATATTTTAAGTCATCTCTAGATTACTTATAATATGTAATGCAATGTAATGTTATGTAAATAGTTGTTATGCTATATTATTTTTATTGTTGTATTGTTATTTTTATTTATTGAGACAGGGTCTCCCTCTGTTGCCCAGGCTGGAGTGCAGTGGCACAATCTTGGATCACTGCAGCCTCAACCTCCAGGGCTCAAGCGATCCTCCCATCTGTCTCCTGAGCAGCTGGGACTACAAGTGCACCATGCGTGGCTAACTTTTTTATTTTTTGTAGAGATGGGGTCTTGCTGTGTTGCATAGGCTGGTCTCAAGCTCCTGGGCTCAAGCAGTCCTTCTGCATTGGCCTCCCAAAGTGCTGGGATATTACAGGTGTAAGCCACCATGCCCTGCCGCAAATATTTTTGATCTGTGGTTGACTGCATCCACAGATGTGGAATCCAAGTATATGGAGGGCCAAGTATATTTCTGATTCTCTCATGTCACCCTTTATGCTACTGTCATAAATGTTCATTTTATCTATATTAAAAACCCCACTCTATATCATTATTTTTGCTTAAGTTGTTGTATTAGTTTGCTAGTGCTGTTGTAACAAAGTACCATGAACTGGGTGGCTTAAACAATATAAATTTTCTCATAGTTCTGGAGGCTTAGAAGTCTGAGGTCAAGATTGTGGGAAGATTTCTTCCTTTTGAGGGCTGTGAGGGAGAATCTAATCAATGCCTCTTGCCTTGCCTCTAGTGGTTTGCTGGCAATCTTTGGTGGTCTTTGGTTTATAGATGCATCTCTCCAATCTCTGTGTTCATCTTCATGTGACGTTCTCCCTGTGTGCTTGTTTCTGAGTTAAAATTTCTCCTTTTTATAAGTATACCAGAGTCTTATTGGACTAGGGGCCACTGTAATCACCCCTGTTTAATTTGATTACCTCTGTAAAGCTCCTATCTTCAAATAAAGTCACATCTTTAGAGTTAGAACTCCAACATATCTGTTTTAGGTTGACATAATTCAACCCGAAACAATGGTAAATTATCTTTAAAGAGTTTAAACAACAAGAGAAAATCTTTTTAGCTGTATAGTTATCACTTCTAGTATTCTTCATTCCTTTGTGTAGAGCCATATTTCTAACTGGCTAAAGCACTTCCACCTTAACATTTCTTATAATACAAGCTTGCTAATATTGAATTTCAGCTTTTACACATCTGAAGAAAATCGATTTCATCTTCATTTTTGAAAGACATTTTGGCTGGGTATAAAATTCTAGGTGACTTTTTCCTTCAGTACTTTAAGGTGTCTTTACAATTTCTGGGAGCTTTTAAGATTTTATCACTAGTTTTAGAAGTTTGATTTGATGTTCCTTGGTGTAATTTTCTTGATGTTTCTTTTGTTTGGGGTTTGTTGGGCTTCTTTGAATTTGTGAGTTTAAAGCTTTAATTAAATTGGAAAGTTTTTGGCCATTTTTTCAAATCCCCCACCTTTTGGGGGATTCCAATTATGCTTATATTTAGTTGCTTAGATTTGTATCACTGATGCTCTTCTATTTAAAAAATTTTCTGTTTCATTTTGGATAGCTGCTATTGTTGTATCTTCAATTTCCCTTTCCTTCTGCAACATCTAATATGCATTAATCCTATCCAGTATGCATCTTCACATCACACATTATAGTATCTGTCTTTAGAAGATAGATTTGGGTATTTTAAAATATCTTCCTATTTCTACTTAGCTTTTTATACAGTTTTGATTTTTTTAAATAATAAAACTGTATTGAAGCATAACACATATAAGGAAAGAATATAAACTGTGTAAAAGTTTAGCTTAAGTAATTTTCCCAAACTGGTATTATCTCTATTTTAATGTCCCTGTTTCTGTGTCAGTTCAGGGTTGGTCATTGTTGGCTGATTTATCTCCTCACTGTGGGTCCTATTTTCTTGCTGCTTTGCATGGCTGTAATTTTTTTTGGATGCTAGACATGGTGAATTTTACCTTGGTGGGTTCTACATAACTATGGATTGCTATAAATATTCCTGAACTGTGTTCTGGGATGTAGTTAAGAAACCTGGAGACAATCTGAAGTTTTTGGGTCTTACTTTTAAGATTTGTTACATGGGACTAGAGCACTAGTATTTAGTCTAAGGCAAATTATTCTCCATTATTGAGGTAAGACCCTTCTCTGTGTACTCTATTAAATGTCTGTGAATCTTGAATGCTCCAGTATGGCTGATGGGAACAGGTACAATATTAATACTTCTCTGTGTGACTGCTGGCCACTGTAATCTCTAAGCCTTTTGGACAGTACCTTATCTAGTCTCATGTAGTTTTCTCATATACATGTGTGCTGATTTGTACTCAGCTGAGTATTCAAAGGGGACCTTTTGCAGGCCTCTGGAGTTTTCCCTCTATGGCTTTCTTATTTTCAGTAGACCATTCTAGAAACTCTAGCTGCCTCGGTCTCCTAGGACTCTCAACTCCCTAGGACTCTTCACAACTCACAGAATCACCTGAACTCTGCTTGGGTTTCTCCCTGTGCTATATCCTGGAAACTCTCTCAAGGCAATATCCTAGAGTAATTGTAGGGCTTGTCTCATTTGTTTTCCATCTCTCAGAGATTACTGTCCTTCATTACCTGATGTGCAGTGTCAAAATTATTTCGAATATTTTGTTGCTTCAAGTGGAAGAGGATAAAGCTGGTCTATCTTATCCCATCTTGGCTGGAAGAGTAAGTCCCTTTACTCTGTTTTAAAATTAGTTATAGGATTCTGAACTGTGAAACTCTGATTCTACTACTTAAGTTATGTATAGCCGTCTTTTGTCTTCCCTGGTGACTATACAATTCAGTGTTTATAAACCTATCCATAAATAGATTTAATATTAAGCTTAAGGATCAGATCAAATGGTCATGGTGTCTCAGCAGTCCCTGAAGAACATCTCTCATGTATATCTTGAGGAAGGAAGGGAAGATAATCCATGCATGAAGCCACTTGGGCTTTAAAACTAGTTCCTGATGGCACAGAACTTCTCTGCAGTGGTAAGCTAAGAACAGTGATTTTATAATAGAGAAAACGAAAGTAGAAATAACAGTAATGGTTTTAGGACTTGCTTGTTCCTTGATGTTATACAGATTTAATCATGCTCATCAAAATGATTCATAATCAAAGTTTCATATGAAAGTTAAATCTTCATGCAGGAATTTACCAGTAGTAACAACAAACATTTATTTAGCAGGCACTGTATAAGAGCTACTATGCTTGATGCTTTAAATACTTTTTTTTTTTTTTCAAGAAAACATTACAACAACCTATGAAATGTGGTCTACTACTAACCCCATTATACAGATGAGAAAACTGAGGATCAGAGACTAGAAAATGGTGATGGAGAGGTTCAAACCTAGGCTGGAAACATGATTCTATTCTTTTATTTAAAAAAGTATTAAATATACTAGGCACTCTTCTAGGTACTGGGAATACAGCAATAGAGGGAAAAAAATCCCTAATAACTAATATATTAATACTCTAATCCATACTTTAAAAATAACATTAAAATGCATTTTGTAACTATTTAAATGCATTTTGTAAAAATTTTTATGTCTAGAGTTCTATCAAGAGTAAAATGGTAAACATAATGAATTAATGTTATTCTGGAAAAAAGTCTTTTTCTGATATAAATAATGTGCCTACTTTAGAGTTATCTATCTTTAAAAAATGCCTTTAACACAAACTCTTGGCATCACATGATTAAGGTAAAAGAAAGTTCAAGGTGGCTGGGTGCAGTAGCTCATGCCTGCAATCCCAGCACTTTGGGAGGTTGAGGCAGGTGGATCACCTGAGGTCAGGAGTTCGAGACCAGCCTGACCAACATGGTGAAACCCTGTCTCTACCAAAAATACAAAGTTAGCTGGGCGTGGTGGTACATGCCTGTAATCCAGCTATTTAGGAGGCTGAGGCCGGAGAATCACTGGAACCCGGGAGGCATAAGTTGCAGTGAGTGATCATGCCACTGCACTCAAGCCTGGGCAACAAGAGCAAAACTCCATCTTAAAAAAAAGTTCAAGCTGATAAGGTGATCCTGCTTCACTGAATTGAAATGATAGTGTCATAATAACTGACCCATAGGAAATGTTCTCAAAAGAAAGGATAGTATCTATCATTTATTGAGTTCCCATAATGTACCAGGCCAAGTGTTAAGTAGTTTCATCGACTCAAGTACAAACAAGCTGGATTTAATAAAGTTCTGGCTGATGCCAAAGCCCTTGCCTCTTTCTACTATTCCATAATGGCTCTACAACACTGTATATTTCAGAAAGAGATGCATTAAAAGAAAATAATAAACCAAATATAACAAAATGCAAAACCCAAACACTACAGCTATGTGGAATTCTGTAATCTACTGAAGTTTCTTTTTTTTTTTTTTTTTTAGACGGAGTCTCACTGTGTCACCCAGGCTGGAGTGCAGTGGCGCGATCTCGACTCACTGCCACCTCCGCCTCCCGGGTTCAAGCGATTCTCCTGCCTCAGCCTCCTGAGTAGCTGGGATTATGGGCGCTTGCCACCACGCCCAGCTACATTTTTTTTATTTTTTAGTAGAGACGGGGTTTCACCATGTTGGCCAGGCTGGTCTCAAACTCCTGACCTCAGGTGATCCACCCATCTTGGCCTCCTAAAGTGTTGGGATTACAGGAGTGATCCACCATGCCCAGTTGAAGTTTCTTAATTGCAATGATTTTGCTCTAACATAGTTTTAGATTATGGCTATTTAGATGATAAAGAAAATAAAGACAATATTTGGTTAAATGCTCAATTATTCACAAAATGTATTTAGTTTTGAAATCTCTCCTCAATGGGTACACAGGAAATACATTTGCTATTTTAGGGATGCAAAGACAGTGCTTTTCTTTTGTAAATATACATGTAAAATATTAAAGTCCAAAAACAAAACTATGCATACCTCTACAGCAGGTACAATATCTATGCCAACAGTTAGAAATTCTTCAAACTTCAGAAATGGGTTAAAGCAGCTGCCAACATCAAGTAATCTGATTTTTCCTGAGGCTTGTAGCAACCTAAAAACAGATATTTTATAAGAACAAAATCAAATATGAGAATGTAAGAAATCACATAGATTATCAGTTCTTTAACTTTTTGGTCTCAGGACCCTTTTACACATATAAAAATTACTGACGGCCCCAATGAGCTTTCATTTCTGTGAGTTATATCTATTAATAATGATCATATTTGAAGTTAAGATGAACAAGTCTTAAAAATATTCATTTATTAGACTTAAAAAGGATAGTAAAAAAGTACAGCCTTGTTTTATATATATTTACTTATTTAATTTTTTAAAAATTGAGACAAGGTCTTGCTGTATTGCCCAGGCTGGTCTTGAACTCCTGAGCTCAAGTGATCCTCCAGCCTCAGCTCCCAAAGTATTGGGATTAGAGGCGTGAGCCACTGAGCCTGGCTCCCCCACCCCCAACCCCCATTTTTAAAAAATATATTTTTTCAAGTCTCTAATGTCTGGCTTAATTGAAGATGAATGAATTCTAATATCTGCTTTTGCATTCAGGCTGTTGCAACATCACATGCTATGTAGTCTCTGGAAAACTCCACTCTACACTCAGAGTGAGAGTAAAAAACAAATGAGAATCTGTAACAATACGTAATACTATACACACTACTAGTCATTCTTACCCTTATTGGGCTATGGTTAAGGAGTTCTCGAATCAGAAAGGCTAAGACCATAAACTGACTCTGACCCTTAACATGTAATACGGGGATAATAGTGGTATTTACCCTTAGACTTTTTCCCAGAATTAATAAGATAATACATTAATACTTGACCCTATGCCTAGTACATGGTAAGTGCTCAAAAAGTGGTACATATCATTGCTCACTATTACCATGTTTTATAAAAAATTTGTATTTCTTCCACTAATGATCTTCCCTAGTAAAAGCAGAATTTGCTATATGCTAAATTCTGTAGTATAGATTCTAGTAAACTGAGTAGCAAAACATTTCTGAGAGTCTTAAAAAAATATACTTCTTATAAATTGAATTTTCTTTCTCAATGAAGTATCCTAAACCATTCAAGTTACTTCAACATTATGGAACAATCACCAATAACTTAATCATATCATGGATTAGCTTAATAACTGATCAATTGTCAGCAATATACTAAGCCTATTTCAAATTATTTGGCTTCGCTCCTTAATTTTTTATTTGCATAAAATATACACTCAGTGAGTGACCATGTAATTACCACTCAGGTCAAGACATAATGACTGCATCCTGGAAACATGACCCTCCCTGATGACATCCCCCACACCTTTATTTTAGGTAGTCACTATCCCTATTTTAGTCACTTATCCTTATTTATTCCCTTGATTTCCTTTTATAGTCTTAAGTACCTACGACTGAATGTCTACAGTTTAGTTTTACACTACATTTTGTAACTTGCTGCTTTCATTTGCTGTTGTTTTTGAGTTGTTTGTGCTTCTATAATTCACTTTTACTGCTGTACAGTAGTACACTTAAGACTTTTATTAGCATGGCATTAAGTCTAAAGATCACTTAAGGAGAATTAACATCTTTACAATATTCAATCTTCAAATTCATGAACATGAATAGTTATCCATTTACTTAAAAAACTGTCAATAGTTTTGATCATTTTCTCTAAAAAGTTCCCTCACATCTTTTGTTGGAGTTATATTCCTTGGTATTTCCTAGTTTTTGATGCTTTTATTATCTTTTTTCCCATGGATACACTTTACTTTTTTTTTTTTCAATTTCATTTTTTATTGTTGGTTACACAGATGCAATTGACTTGGATACAATAGTCCCCCCTTATCTGGTGTTTCACCTTTTGTGGTTTCAGTTACCCGCAGTTAACCATGGTCTGAAAATGCTCAACAGAAAATTCCAGAAATAAACCAATTCATGAGATTTAAATTGCGTGACATTCTGAGTAGCATGGTAAATTCTCACACCGTCAGACCCAGGACACGAATCACATCCATTTGTCCAAAGTATCCACGCTTTTTGCATTAGTCATTAACAGGATATCTTATGATCCTGATATCTAACAATTCACATAGGCATGGCTTCATGATCTAGGATTACTGAAAGCAGGTGATCCTCCTCCTCCTGATGTACGGTCAGAAGGTCAACAGTAGCCTAACGCTAAGTCACAATACCTATGTGATTCACCTCACTCCATCCCATTGTATGGGCATTTTATCATCTCACATCATAAGGGTAAGTGAAGTACCATAAGACACTTTGAGATACCATACTCAAATACTTTAAAAATTATGTGAGTAAATGAAGTACAATAAGATACTTTGAGATACCATACTCACGTAATTTTTATAGCATTTTGTTATAATTGTTCTATTTTATTGTTATTCTTCTTGTGCCTAACTTATAAATTAAACTTTATCATGGGTATGTATATATAAAAACATAGTATGTATAGGATTCAGTAATGTCTGTGGTTTTAGGCCTCCATGGGGGTGTCAGCATGTACTCTCTGTGAAGAAGGGGTGGCTACTATGCATTATTTTTTTTAGATCCAGCAGCTTTACTAAATTTATCTCGATTGTTTATCTGTATATTATTTTGTGTACTCCAGGTACATAAGTTCCTAATCTGTGAAAAATGACATTTGTGTTTCATCCTCTCCTATCACCCACCTACCCATCCATTTTTTACCTCCTTACCACTCTGCTGAGGACTTCCAATATGTTGGTAGATAGAAGTGGGCAAGTGGATGGACACTATTAATCTTACATCAGAAGGAACATTCCAGTGTTTCACCATTAAATGTAATAACTGGTATAGGTTTTAGATACTACCCTTAATAAAGTTGAAGTTCTTTTATAAACTTTTATTTTAGGTCCAGGGGTACATGTACAGGTTACACAGGTAAACTACGTGTCTCAGGAGTTTGGTGTACTGATTATTTTGTCACCCAGGTAATAAAGATAGTTCCCAATAGGTAGTTTTTTTTATTCTCTCCCTTCTCTGTCTCCACCCTTAAGTAATCCCCAGTGTATGTTGTTTCCCTCTTTGGGTCCATGTGTTCTCATCACTTAGCTCCCACTAACAAGTGAGAACATGAAGTATGTGGTTTTCTGTTCCTGAATTAGTTTGCTTAGGATAATGACCTCCAGCTCCATCCATGTTGCTAAAAAGGACATGATTTCATTCTTTTTTATGGCTGCATAGTATTCTATGGTGTATATGTACCATGTTTTCTTTATCCAGTCTACTGCTGTTGGGCATTTAGGTTGATTCCATGTCTTTGCTATTGTGAACTGTGCCGTGATGAACGTATGTGTGCATGTGTCTTTATTGTAGAATGATTTATAGTCCCTTGGGTGTATACCCAATAATGGGGGATTGCTGAGTCTAGTGGTAATTTTGTTTTAAGTTCTTTGAGGAATTGCTACACTGCTTTCCACAATGGCTGAACTCATTTACATTCCCACCAGCACTGTATTAGCATTCCCCTTTCTCTGCAACCTTGCCAGCAGCTGTTATTTTTTGACTTTTTAATAATAGCCATTCTGATGCCTGTGAGATGGTATCTCACTGTGGTTTTGATTTGCATTTCTCTAACGTTTAGTGATGTTGAGCATTTTTTCATATGCTTGTTGGACACGTTTGTCTTCTTTTGAGAAGTGTCTGTTCATGTCCTTTGCCTACTTTTTAATGGGGTTGTTTTCTACCTGCAAATTTGTTTAAGTTCCTTATAGATGCTGGATATTGGACCTTTGTCAGATGCATGGTTATATTTTCTCCCATTCTGTAGGTTGTCTGTTTATTCTGTTGATAGTTTCTGTTGCTGTGCAGAAGCTCTTTAGTTTAAGTAGGTCCCACTTGTCAATGTTTTTGTTAAAATTACTTTTGGCATCTTTGTCATAATCTTTCCCAGGTTTTATGTCCAGAATGGTATTTCCTAGGTTATCTTCCAAGGTTTTTCTAGTTTAACATTTAAGTCTTTTTAACTGATCTTGAGTTTATTTTTGTGTATGGTGTAAGAAAGAGGTCCAGTTTCAATCTTCTGCATATGGCTAGTTATCCCAGCAAATAGCGAGTCCTGTCCCCATTGCTTTTGTCAACTTTATCGAAGATCAGATGGTTGTAGGTTTTATTTCTGGGTTCTCTATTCTGTCCATTGGTCTGTGTGTCTGTTTTGGTACCAGTACCATGCTGTTTTGTTTACTGTAGCCCTATAGTATCGTTTGAAGTTGGGTAACATGTGATGCCTCCAGCTTTGTTATTTTTGCTTAGAATTGCCTTGGTGATTTGGGCTCTTTTCTGGTTCCATATGAATTTTAAACTAGTTTTTCTTAATTCTGTGAAGAATGTCATTGGTAGTTTGATGAAAATAGCACTGGATCTGTAAATTGCTTTGACAGTATGGCCATTTCAACAATAATGATTCTTCCTATCCATGAGCATGAAATGTTTTCCATTTGTTTGTGTCATCTCTGATTCGAGCATTGTTTTGCAATTCTTGTTGCAGAGATTTTTCACCTCCCTGATTAGCTGTATTCTAGGTATTTTATTCTTTTTGTGGCAATTGTGGATGGGGTTGTGTTCTTGATTTGGCTCTCAGCTTGAATGTTCTTGATGTATAGGAATGCTGCTGATTTTTGTACATTTATTTTGTATCCTGAAACTCTGCTGAAGTTGATCATCAGATCTGGGAGCTTTTAGCAGAGACTATGGGGTTTTCTAGATATAGAATCATGTCATCTGCAAACAGAGATAGTTGGACTTCTCTGCTTCTATTTGTTCCTTTTATTTCTCTTGCCTGGTTGCTCTGGCCAGGACTTCAGGAAATCATTTTATGCTTAGCTAGGGTGGTTTTTCCTTTTTTGACACAAATCCATGTGGAATTTTATCAAATGCATTCTATATATTTGTGCAGATATGACTAATCTATGTGGTAGAAAAAAATTCATTAATTGTATAGTGTCAAATCAATCTTGCATTCTTTGGAAGGTCCTAATTTGGTTTCTATATATTATTCTTTTCATAATCTGAGGATTTGTTTTATATGTCTGTGTGTATATACAGTAAATTCTGGCTACTTGTGGTCATTTGGTTCTATAAAGTGACCATGAATGTTGAATTAGTGAATGCTAAACAATGGCTCTTATGGAAACTACAGGATTAGGTCTCTGGTCATAACATTTTCATCAATACATACCTTGAATTTATATGTTTCTGTTTAAAAGCACTGTATTTAATACGTATTGTTGATGCATTAACATTGAACTCGTGGCCAACAGCACTATAACTCATGCCTGAAGGAAGCTTACATAACACATGTATTTTTCTTCGTTAAGGCACAATACAGCATTCTTGTGCTCAGGAACACTAGACTTCAACACCATATGTGGGGGTTGTTTTAAAAGCAAAGACATCAACAAAAAGCACAAACAAAAAATGTAACACCAAATAGGCTGTGAAAAGGGTGTTTGTGTGAGAGAGCGGAAACAAGGCATAGCTCACCTTGTTGGACCTCAGTTGGGAGGTTTATGTGTAGAATGAGTCAAATTTTTTGCCACAAGTATTGATTGTAGGGTTACAAGTAAGTAAGTTTTAGTAAGTTAGGTAATTCACAGACAGGGAATTTACAAATGAGAATCGACTGTGTGTAGGTATTTTCAGGATTTTACATCTATGTTTATAAGTGGGCAAGTTTGTTAATCATGTTGTTCAAATATTGATAGTCTTACTTTTTGAATGTTTCCTCAATCTTCCACCATTAAGAAAACAGAATAATCTCTGCAAATTGATTTAAAGGTATTTTGTTATTTTCATATATGTTTATTTTTGCAAAAAAGAAATCTAGAAAGGATAACCCAGAAACTAATAAAACCTCAGAAGATCTGGAACAAGGTGGATGCTTTAAGTATGAGATGGGATGTCTGAGTATACCGTTCATTGTAGTTTTGACTTTTGGAAGTTGTTAATGTTTTACATATTCAAAAAATAAAACCACTATAAACTAATGAATCTAGTTAAATGTCAAATAACACAGAAGGAAAACCAATAATTCAATACCATTTGAGCATACTATTCTAAAGACAATAATCTTGATGGGTAATATTCTAAGGACAAAAAAAAAGAACTGCAAAAATATCCTGAATTTTAATGTTTGTTGTTGTGGTAGTGCTGATATAGTCATCTTGAAATTATTTTGTGTGTCTTGAAGAGCTGAGCAAATAGCAAATAAACTAAAGTTGCTGAGAGATACAAACTCAGAATGAGGGAACGGAGGGAAAAAACCCTGCAGTGATGGATTAGAATTAGAGGTTTCATAAGAAAGGATGTCAAAGCAGTGACACCACAGTAACAAAAAGCATATCTAATACTCAGAATTTGGTTTCTAAATACCGTTCTCTCACTAAAAGGAACCTGTACTACTTAGAGGAACAGCTTATGCCAGGGTTGAAGCAGAGAAAGTACATGGTTAAGCCTCGATGATCTTATTGTACAAGAAAGTAAAGCACTGCTCAAACACTATGACAAGGTAAAAGAAACTACTTTAAAGGCATTTCCATTGGCCTAATTTGGGATGATTTCACCATCATAAGAATGAACTTTAACACAATGATTTAAAATCTGAGACTACAGGTACTTAAATAAGAAAGGGGGAGAAAGGAAAGATGTTTTTACAAAAGAATGCCAACCAATATATTTGAGCAAGATAGAAATTAATCACCATTTTGCAACCACTGTAATAAAAACAACTTGATTTAGGCAAGACCACTAATGGATGCTAAAGCCACTGGTGAAAACAGAAACTTCACTTGGTGTTTATGTATATAATTCACTCCACAAATTACAGACTAAAGGTACTTGGGAGGAATCTGGCAGACATCACCTTAGTCAAAAGATCAAACATCACTGAAAATCTGAGTGATGCCCTGAGAACCCAATATCACCTATGTAGCATGCTTACCAGAAACATTAATGTAATCACAGGGAGTTTTCTGTATTAATGCAGTCCAAGAGATATTTAACTAGATACTATATGTAATCTTTGATGAATCCTGGATCAAACAACCATCAAAAATAAATCTCCCCAAAACAACTATAGATTTGTCAATTTTCATTATATATATGAAGTGTTAATAAATTTCATTATTTATTCAATATTTGTTTCATATATGCATACGATACTATTAGGCACAAATTAAAAATTGTTATATTTTCCTACTAAATCACACCTTTTATCACAAAAAATGTCTCCTTTATCTCTAGCAATGATACTCTAAAGCCTCATGTTTTGGATATCTCTCATAAGAGCATAAATTGGATTTTTATATTCAGAGTCTGACAATCTATGTTTTAATTGGAATATTTTGATCTGTTATATTACTTTTGCACTTTCTATCTGCTCTACCTATTCTATGTTTCTTTTCTCACACTCTGTACTTTCTTTGGAATCACACTGGAAGTTTTAACAACACCCAGAGATTCTGATTTAATTGAGGGGTACGATGGAGTCTGGGCATTATGATTTTCAAAAGCTCCCTAGGTGAATGTATGGTATAGCTAAAGTTGAGAACTGGTTTTAGATTTTTCCTTTTTAAATCTTAGTAATTCCATGTTTTTGATTTTGCTAATTTGAAAATTTTACATTGCCTTTGTCTTCACCCAGACCATACAAAACCTTGAGAACACTTAAAATTCTGTTAACCACATAAATTAGTCATTTTGTGTATTTCAATTCTATTATTATTACTGGTGTATATCTGTTTAGACTTTCCATTTGGGATCACTTTTTTTCTGCCTGAAAGATAGCTTTAGAATTTCTTTTAAGTGAGGTTTGGCTTTCCCATTCTCGCCTCTCCTTCTGCAACTCCAATAAAGATGAAAGTTATACTTCATTTTTAACTTCTGTCTTTAACCATTTTATTTTTTTTATTTTACATTTTCTTGTCTGTGTGAGGCAAGACAAGATAATAATGTTATCTGGATGATAATGTTTCCTAGTTTGATAATTCCTCTTCAATTCATTCCATATACTGAGTTTATTTTAAATAATTTTGGCTTTCCAAATGGCTAGTCTTTAAAGTTTCTATTTCCCGTAGAAATTTTCAAGCAATTCTTTTCTCTAAAATAGCATCATCCCTGGGATGCAAGGCTGGCTCAACATACGCAAATCAATAAATGTAATCCATCACATTAACAGAACCACATGATTATTTCAATAGATGCAGAAAAGGCCTTCGATAAAATTCAACACCCCTTCATGCTAAAAACTCTCAATAAACTAGGTATTGGTGGAACATATCTCAAAATCATAAGAGCTATTTATGACAAACCCACAGCCAATATCATACTGAATAGGCAAAAACTGGAAGCATTCCCTCTGAAAACTGGCACATGACAAGGATGCCCCCTCTCACGACTCCTATTCAACAAAGTACTGGAAGTTCTGGCCAAGGCAATCCGGCAAGAGAAAGAAATAAAGGGTATTCAAATAGGAAAAGAGGAAGCTAAATTGTCTCTTTGCAGATGACATGATTGTATATTTAGAAAACCCCATCGTCTCAGACCAAAATCTCCTTAAGCTGATAAGCAACTTCAGCAAACTCTCAGGATACAAAATCAATGGGCAAAAATCACAAGCATTCGTATACACCAATAATAGACAAACAGAAAGCCAAATCATGAGTGAACTCCCATTCACAATTGCTACAAAGAAAATAAAATACCTAGCAATACAACTTACAAGGGATGTGAAGGACCTCTTCAAGGAGAACTACAAACCACTGCTCAAGGAAATAAGAGGACACAAACAAATGGAAAAACATTCTATCCTAATGGATAGGAAGAATCAATTTCATGAAAATGGCCATACTGCCCAAATTTATAGATTTAATGCTATCCCCATCAAGCTACTATTGACTTTCTTCACAGAATTAGAAAAAAACTACTTTAAATTTCATATGGAACCAAAAAAGGAGCCCGTATAGCCAAGACAATCCTAAACAAAAAGAACAAAGCTGGAGGCATCACACTACCTGACTTCAAACTATACTAGAAGGCTACAGTAACCAAAACAGCATGGTAGTGGTACCAAAACAGAGATACAGACCAATGGAACAGAACAGAGGCCTCAGAAACAACACCACACATCTACAACCATCTGATCTTTGACAAACCTGACAAAAACAAGCAATGGGGAAAGGATTTCCTACTTAATAAATGGTGTTGGGAAAACTGGCTAGCCATATGCGAAGAACTGAAACTGGACACCTTCCTTACACCTTATACAAAAATTAACTCAAGATGGATTAAAGACTTAAACTTAAGACCTAAAACCATAAAATAGCTTGTTTTATAAATTGTGATTCATAATTCTAATATACAAAGCCTTTATAGGTCTGTTCTTGCTGCCTCTGCTGACTTTAGGTCGTACCTTGTTTTCATACATGCTTAGTAATGATTTTTACTATAAGCAATTTACATTTCCTGAAAAATTATTTATGAAAATTCTTTGAGTAGAAGTCTCTTTGCTGTGTCAAGCTACCTGGAGTACCACCAGTTTAGGGCCACTTTCAACTAAATAAATACAAGGTTTAAAGTTTTGTGGACCCACTTTGCAGATATGAATTTGTGCTTGGGATATTCTATGGTTTCAACCTGTTCAGGGTCTGTCTGCTTTGGATGAAGGAATAGATTTACTTCTGGTTCACCAAATTGAGAAAGCAGCTGTTTGGAGATTCAATTCTATAAGAGGAGTGTAAAAGCCAACACTCAAGTTTGCCAGTTTGGACCAATGCTCTCAGCTCAACAGAAGCTTTGTGCTTTGCTTACTTTTCTGGCTTCCCGTCATCATTTGGATTTTGGCCTTATCAGTTCTTACCTAAGAAGATTTATCCATCATTTTAAAAAAGTTTTCAGTTTGGGAGATTGGTTAGAATACCTAGATAATCATATTCCAGTTTAACTTTTAAAGTAAAATAAGTAAACAGATAAAATTATCTTAGTCTAACTAGTCAGCATAAAATCAGTTTGTGACAACATAGTCAACAGTTATGAAAGTGTATGTAAATAAACAGTAGTAGTGTTTTGTTACTGTTCATTGATGTGAAAGTACTGTATTACATGAATATGTTAAGTATGCTAAAGACAATAGACTTTGAGTATCTATTAAAAGACTGTACTTTCTTCATCAAAAAAGGCTAGAGGGCCAATCTTAAGTGATCTTAACTGATACACTTTACTTCCACATTAATATATGCAATGCACATAGCAGGAGAACCTAACTTGAGAATCAATACCTCATTAAATTATTAAAAAACTAAAACTACAGAAAAGTGCTTGTTATAACACAAGAGGAACTACCTGAAAATGCATGTTCAGTTGCTTAAATGTTTTCAAACAAATAAAACTTCTTTGCCAATTATAACTTAAATTCAGCAAATATTTAAATCATCTAATGAATAAATTTGAGTCTTGAAAGATTGTATCATACAACCATGTGTACCTTCTTCCTCTAAGTCAAAGGTTTTAAAATAATTTTTGGACCCTCAAACCCCTTTAAGCAGTCTAAAGACAGATCCCTTTTCAAAATGCTTTCAGAAATGCATGAATAAATCAAATCACAAAATTAGTTATCCTGAAATAGTTATCATACTATTACAAGAAAAACAAAGCTATGATATAGTAACAAGTGTTTCTTTAGTAACACATTAAATAATGAGGATTCAGCAATATAATGACTACCACAATTTCTAAGTAGTGATGAGAATAAGTATTCTGATATATATAACTACAATATGATACAAACATCTGTAATTTCTCTAAGTAATAAAGTCATAGATACTAGTTTTGCTGCCTACATTCATAAAAGAAGGAATTGCTAAATTTTAATTGGAGTGAAACTAGAAAACTAGAAGAGACCGATAAATTCCTGAACACATATCCCCTTCCAAGACTGAACCAGGAAGAAATTCATTCCCTGAACAGACCAATAATGAGCTCTACAGTTGAATCAGTAATAAGTAGCCTACCAAACAAAAAATGCCCAGGACCAGATGGATTCACAGAATTCTACAGCTGTAGAATTCTACAAAGAGCTGGTACCACTCCTACTGAAACTATTCCAAAAGACTGAGGAGGAGGGACTCCTCCCCACCTCATTCTATGAAGCCAGCATCATTCTGATACCAAACCTGGCAAAGAAAACAAAAAAAGAAATATCCTTGATGAACACTCATGCAAAAATCCTCAACAAAATACTTGCAAACCAAATCCAGCAGCACATTGAAAAGCCAATCCACCACAGTCAAGTAGGCTTTATCCCTGGGAAGCCAGGTTGGTTCAACATATGCAAATCAATAAATGTGACTCATCACATAAACAGAACTAAAGACAAAAACCACATGATCATCTCAATAGGTGCAGAAAAGGCTTCTGATAAAGTCCAACATCCCTTCATGTTAAAAACTCTCAATAAACTAGGCACTGAAGGAATATACCTCAAAATAATGAGTCATCTATGAGATACTCACAGCCAACATTATACTGAATAGGCAAAAGCTGGAAGCACTCCCTTTGAAAACCAGCACATGACAAGGATGCCCTCTCACCACTCCTATTCAACATAGTACTGGGAGTCCTGTCCAGAGCAATCGGATAAGAGAAAGAAATAAAGGGCATCCAAATATAATAGAAAGGAAGTCAAACCATCCCTATTTGCTGATGACATGATGATCCTGTATTTAGAAAACATCATGGTCTTGGCCCAAAAGCACCTTCTGCTGATAAACAACTCAAGCAAAGTTTCAGGACACAAAACTCAATGTACAGGAATCACTAGCATTTCTATACACCAGTAAGGCAATCCCATTCACAATTGGCATAAAAAGAATGAAATACCTAGGAATATGGCTAACCCGGAAGGTGGATGATCTCTAGAATGAGAACTACTGCTCAAAGAAATCAGAGACAACACAAAAAAATGGAAAAACATTCCATGTTCATGCATAGGAAGAATCAATATTGTTAAAATGGCCATATTGCCCAAAGCAATTTACAGAGTCAATGCTATACCTATCAAACTACCAATTACATTCTTCACAGAACTAGAAAAACTATTTTAAAATTCATATGAAACCCTAGAAAAGTACCCAAATTGCCAAGGCAATCCTAAGCAAAAAGAACAAAGCTGGAGTCATCACATTATCCAACTTCAAATGATACTACAAAGCTGCTACAGTAAACAAAACAGCATGGTACTGGTAGACAGACGCATAGACCAATGGGACAGAATAGAGAGCCCAGAATAAAGCTGCACACCTATGACCATCTGATTTTTGACAAAGCTGACAAAAACAAGCAATGGGGAAAGGACACTGAATAAATGGTGCTGGGATCAGTGGCTGGCCCTATGCAGAAGATTGAAACTAGACCCCTTCTTGACACCATATACAAAAATCAACTCAAGATGGACTGAAGACTTAAATGTAAAACTTAAAACGATAAAAACTTTGGAAGACAACCTGGGCAACACCATTCTGGACATAGGAATATGCAAAGGTTTCATGACTAAGATGTGAAAAGCAATCACAACAAAAGCAAAATTTGACAAATGGGATCTAATTAAACTTAAAAGCTTCTGCACAGCAAAAGAAACTACCAACAGAGTAAACAGACTAGCTATAGAATGGGAGAAAATATTTACAAACTATGCATTGACAAAGGTCCAATATCCAGCATCTATAAAGAACCTAAACAAATTTACAAGAAAAAACAACCCCATTATAAAAAGTGGGCAAAGGACATAAACAGACACTTCTCAACAGAATACATACACGTGGCCAACAAGTATATTAAAAAAAGCTCAATATCACTGATCATTAGAGAAGTGCAAATAAAAACTACAATGAGATACCATCTCACACAAGTCATAATGGTTATTATTAAAAAGTCAATAACAGATGCTGGTGAGTTTGTGTAGAAAAGAAAATGCTTATACACTGCTAGTGGGAGTGTAAATTAGTTCAACCGTTATGGAAAGCAGTGTGGCGATTCCTCAAATAGCTAAAGCAGAAATACCATTTGACCTAGCAATCCTATCACTGGCTGTATACCCAAAGGAATACAAATCATTTTACCATAAAGACACATGCACATGTATGTTCACTGCAGCACTATTGACAGTAGCAAAGACGTGGAATCAACCTAAATGCCCATCAATGGTAGACTGGATAAAGAAAATGGAATAGTATTGCAGTCATAAAAAAGAACAATATAATGTCCATTGCAGGAACATGGATGGAGCTGGAGGCCATCATACTTAGCAAACTACTGCAGAACAGAAAACCAAATAGTGCATGTTTTCACTTATAAGTGATGAGAACACAAGGACATAAAGAGAAAAACAACAGACACTGGGGCCTACTTTAAGGGCAGAGGTCAGGAGGAGGGAGAAGGTCAGAAAAAATAACTGTTGGGTACTAGGTTTAGCACCTGGGTAACAAAACAATCTGTACAACTTTTTTTTTTTTTTTTGCATGAGAGAAACAATTCTTTTACATTAATGCTAGGTATAGCTATCCTGGTTTCTCTCCAATTTACAAGTTCTTACAGGATTTGTAATCATACTTAGCAAACTAATGCAGAAACAGAAAACCAAATAGTGCATGTTCTCACTTATAAGTGATGAGGACGTATGGATATAAAGAGGGAAACAACAGACACTGGGGCCTACTTGAGGGTAGAGGATGGGAGGAGGAAGAAGATCAGAAAAAATAACTATTGGATATTAGGCTTAGTACCCGGGTGGCAAAGTCATCTGTGACATGAATTTATCTATATAACAAACCTGCACGTGTTCTCCTGAGCCTAAAATGTAAGTTAAAAAGAGGTGAATGAAAAAGATTTTTCTCTTGCTGTTCATGGACCCCATAAAGGGTTAAGTGTCAAATGAAGTAAACCTGGACAGGTTCATTTCACACAGAAAAGGCTGTCAAATAAAAATCATTTTAAAGGAATGGAGCAACTTTCTAGGGAACCTACGGTGATGAGCTAAATATGTGGCCAACTTCTAACGAGTACACCAGCATTTTCACTGGTTTATATTAATCTCACTTCTGGTTCCATATTCATACATTTTATTTTCCTCATTTAAAAAATTGTATCTGTTTTTATAAGCCACTGTATGCTTTTTGGAATATGAGCATTCTAGAAATTTTCTGCAAATTAAATAGTTAATACCTAATATAAATATGAATAAAATTAAACTGAATTACTCATTTTTCCCATTTTAATTACTGCTTATAATTGTTTCTCAAGAGAGAATTCTTTTACATTAATGCTATGTATAGCTACCCTGGTTTCTCTTAGATTTACTCTTGGTAAGTTCTTACAGGATTTGTAATCATGTAGTCCAAAATAAATCATTCTATAAGAACTACTTTCACATCAAGATAACTTTTATGTATGGAATCAACAACATTGATAAAGACTAAATTCCAGCACTAATCCTTATGCAAATTCTCACAGCATAATTTTACTTAGGGGAAAAATCTTATTTGCAAGTTAAATGGCAAAGTTTGTGGTTAGATATCTGGATTTCAAAAAAATTGCCTTAGCAAATTAAGAATAAATGATTTAACAGCAGAAATACTCAAATGGTACAACAGGATCTTTATTTTTCTTGATAATCCTAATTGAACTATTCTTTCTTACTACAATTAAAGGACCTGGAAATTCCAGTATTTTGTTATCCAAACTCTATTTCAGATTACCTTTTATTCACAGAGTACTACCCACCAAACATACATAAGATAAACCTGTGTCAGATCATAATTTGTAATTTTTGATGTGGAAAATATTACAACTATAGGCCAGGCATGGTGGCTCATGCCTGTAATCCCAGCATTTTGAGAAGCCGAGGCGGGCGGATCACCTGAGGTTGGAAGTTTGAGACCAGCCTGACCAATGTGGAGAAACCCTGTCTCTACTAAAAATACAAAATTAGCTGGGCATGGTGGCACATGCCTGTAATCCTAGCTACTCAGGAGGCTGAGGCGGGAGAATTGCTTGAACGCGGGAGGCGGAGGTTGCGGTGAGCCAAGATTGCGCCACTGCACTCCAGCTTGGGGAACAAGAGTGAAACTCTGTCTCAAAAGAAAAGAAAATATTACAACTACAAGGACTGTCAACCTAGAAGCCCAAGTTCTAAAAACAGAAATATGAGTATAGGCCAGGTGCTGTGGCTCATGCCTGTAACCCTAGTGCTTTTGGGAGGCTAGGGCAGGAGGACTGCTTGAGACCAGAAGTTCAAGACCAGCACAGACCACATAGCTAGTCACTGTCTCTTCAAAAAATTTAAAAAATTAAAAAATTAGCATTACAGGTCATGGTAGTGCATGCCTGTAGCCCTAGCTACTCAAGAGGCTGAGGTGGGAGGATCGCTTGAGCTCAGGAATTAGAGGCTATACTGAGCTATGATCATGCTACTGAGCTCCAGCCTGGGCAACAGAGTGAGACTCTGTATCTTAAAAAAATTTTCTTCTGAAAGACAATAAATAATAGAGGCTTATATTAAGTAACTATAATTATAAATATATAGCTATTGAAACTTTCTCAGTTTAGAAATCATTTTCATTTGAAATTTAGTGAAAAAGTATTTCAAATCTATAAAAATTCAAGTACCTTTAGCATCATTAAAAATACTTTACATGTATACATACCTATAATTTGACAAACATTATTGAATACCTATTCTATCTGTTAGCCTGTTTCAGAGCTTGAGATATAAAGTTGAGTAAGAGAGTCCAGATACTCAAGAAATTAGTCCAGTGAAGAAGACACAAGTGTAAACAGTGCAATGTTTGCATTAGGTAGACGAGTATACAAAATCTTACGGGAGTAGAACACTCAGAGAAGGGAAGGGAAACTCAGAGCGCTGGAGCCTGCAGAATAAGCAAGGTTTTCCCAGGATCAAATGGAGGGGGATGGTGGAGAGTAAAGGAGAAGACTATTGAGGTGGGTGACTATCATTCTAGTCAGAAATCATAGTTAACTGAAAAGGTGTATGTTTCCAATCAGGTATGGACTTTCCACAGACTCTCTGAATCTCATTATAAAAGTGCCTTTTGAAATGTTGTGCAGTCACTTATTTCACTATATTTCTTTAAAAATTCTCCAATGCGGGAGGCCGAGGTGGGCGATCACGAGGTCAGGAGTTCGAGACCAGCCTGATCAACAAGGTGAAACCCTGTCTCTACTAAAAATACCAAAAATTAGCTGGGCGTGGTGGTACACGCCTGTAATCCCCGCTACTCGGGATGCTGAGGCAAGAGAATTGCTTTAACCCGGGAGGCAGAGGTTGCAGTGATCCAAGATTGTGCCACTGCACTCCAGCCTGGGTGACAGAGCAAGACTCCATCTAAAAAAAAAAAAAAACAAAGAAAAAATTATTTAGTACTACTTTTTTCCCCTACCCTTAACATTGCTTTAAAACTCACTTTGATTTTAAAAGTATTTTAAAAAAAGAAAATATCTTAAATGGTTCTTTCATTGGTTTCTGCAAGATTATTAAATCCAATTCTGCTACCACAAATAAACACACATATGTATATGGCAGTAGTTTTCAAACCAACTTATGCTTTAATATAAAAAAATCACAATGTAATTTCCCTTCACAGAAATAGAAAATAGTTTGGTACAGTAAAAAAAGGCTCTGGAGACAGATAATCAACAGAGCTCTCTCTATCTTTACCTACACTTTACTAGTATGTGACCTTAGAAATTTTACTTATCTTCTTTAGGTCTCAGTTTCTTCATCCATGAAATGAGGGGGTAGAAGTAGATGACCTCCAAAGACCATTCTAACTATACAATTTTAGAGGACTCTTTAGGGTTTTCTAGATATAATTTCATCAGCAAACAGAGAAAATTTGACTTCTTTTCCAATTTGGATGCCCTTTATTTCTTTCTGTTGCTCGACTGCTCTGGCTAGGACTTCCCGTACTATGTTGAATAGTAGTGGTGAAAGTGGGCATCTTTGTCTTGTTCCAGTTCTTAGGGGGAGTGTTTTCAACTTTTCTCCATTTAGCATGATATTGGTGGTGGGTTTGTTATAGATGGCTTTTATTATTCTGAGGTATGTTCCTGCAATGCCTAGTTTGTTGAGGGGTTTTATGAAAGAATGCTGGATTTTATAAAATGCTTTTTCTGTGTCTATTGAAGTGATCATATGGTTTTTGTTTTTAATTCTTTTTATATGAATGACATTTATTGATTGCATATGTTAAACCATCTTTGCAGTTGGGCATGGTGGCTCATGCCTGTAATCCCAGCACTTTGGGAAGCCAAGATGGGTGGATCACCTGAGGTCAGGAGTTCGAGACCAGCCTGACCAATGTGGAGAAACTCCGTTTCTACTAAAAATACAAAATTAGCCGGGTGTGGTGGTGCATGCCTGTAATCCCAGCTACTTGGGAGGCTGAGGGAATCGCTTGGACCCGGGAGGCGGAGGTTGTGGTGAGCCAATATTGCGCCATTGCACTCCAGCCTGGGTAACAAGAGTGAAACTCCGTCTCAAAACAACAACAACAACAAAAAAAACCATCTTTGCATCCCTGGAATAAAACTCAGTTATTCATGGTATATTATATTTTTGACATGTGTTGGATTTGGTGTGCTAGTATTTTGTTAAGGATTTCTGCGTCTATGTTCACCATGGATACTGGCCTGCAGTCTTTTTTTGTGTGTGTTCTTGCCTGGCTTTGGAATTCGGGTGATATTGGCTTCACAGAAATTAGTTAGAAAGAATTCACTACACCTCAATTTTTGGGAACAGTATCAGTAAGATTGGTACCAGTTCTTCTTTGTGCATCTGGTAGAGCTGGCTGTGAACTTGGTCCTTGGCTTTTTGTTATTTTGTTGGGAGAGTTTTTACTACTGATTCAATTTCACTATTAGTTATTGTTCTGTTGAGGATTTCTGATTCTTCCTGGTTCAATGTTGCAGGGCGCTGGATGTTTCCAAGAATTTACCCATTTCCTCTAGGGTTTCTAGTCTGTGCATGTAGTTTGTGCAAGACTCAAGGCATCTCTGATGATTTTTTGTATTTCTGCAGTATCAGTTGTAATGTCACCTTTGTCATTTCTAACTGTTGCTTATGTGAATCACCTTTTTTCCCTCAGTTAATCCAGCTAGCAGTCTATCAATTTTGTTTATCTTTTCAAAGAAACTTTTGTTTAATAAGTGACTTCAGTAAAGTCAAAATCAACATACAAAAGTCAGTAGCAATTCTATCCACCAATAATGATCTGACGGAGAACCAAATCAAGAACTCAATCCCATTTCCAATAGTTACAAAATATAAAATATCTGGGAGTACATTTAACCAAGGAGGTGAAAAGTCTCTACAAGGAGAACTACAAAACACCGATGAAAGAAAATGTAGATGATGACACAAACAAATGGAAAAACATCCCATGCTTATGGATTGGAAGAATCAATATTGTTAAAATGACTATACAGCCCAAAGCAATCTCAATCACTATTAAATTATCAACAACATTTTTCACCAAGTCTAAAATTCATATGGAACCCAAAAGGAGCTCAACTAGCCAAAGCAATCCTAAGCAAAAAGAACCAAGCTGGAATCATCATATTATTCGACTTCAAATTACACCACAAGGCTATAATAACAAAAACAGTGTGGTATTAGTATGAAATAGATATATAGATCAGCGGAACAAAGCAGAACCCAGAAATAAAGCTACATACCTACAACCAACTGATGTTTGACAAAGTCAACAAAAATATACAATGGGGAAAAAAGCCTACTCAGTCAATAATGCTGGGAAAACTGGATAGCCATATACAAAAGAATGACACTGAACTCATATCTCTTGCCATATACAAAAATTAACTGAAGATTGATTAAAGATTTAAATGTAAGACCTGAAACTATAAAAATCCAGGGAAAACTCTTCTGGAGATTGGTCTAGGCATGAATTCAAAAGCACGAGAACAAAAACAAACAGACAAATGGGACTTAAAAGCTTCTGCACAGCAAAAGAAGTAATCAACAGAGTAAACACACAACCTACGGAATGGGAGAAAATATTTGCAAACTGTGCATCCTACATAGGGCTAATATGCAGAATTTAAAGGGAATTCAAACAACCTAACAAGAAAAATAACAATCCCATTTAAAAAGTGGGCAAAGGACATGAACAGACATTCTTCCAAAGAAGACATACAAGTTTCCAACAAATATATGAAAAAATGTTCAACAACTCTAATCATGTGAAATCACAATGAGATATCATCTAACACCAGTTAGAAAGGCCATTATTAAAAAGTCAAATAACAACAGATGTTGGCAAGGATTCCCACCACACAATTGGTAGGAATGTAAATTAGTGCCACCTCTATGGAAAATGGTGAACTAAAAATGTAACTACCATTCAATCTAGCAATCCCACTACTAGGTATCTACCCAAAGGAAAAGAAATTATATATAAAGACACCTGCCCTTGTATGTTGATCACAGCACTATCTACAATAGCAAAGTCATGGAATCAACTTGTATCCATCAATAAATGGCTAAATACAGAAAATGTGGTGTATATATGTACATACACATCATGGAATTCTACGCAGCCATAAAAAATGAAATTACGTCTTTTGCAGCAGTATGAATGGAACTGGAGGCCATGACCTTAAGTATAATGACTCAGAAAGCCAAATACATGTTCTAACCTGTAAGTGGGAGCTAAGCAATGTGACAAACACATTGACATTGTTTGTCAATGTGGCAAACAGAGTGAAATAATAGACATTGGAGAATCCAAAAGGTGGGAGGGGAGTGGGGGATGGGAAACTACTTACTGGGTACCATTTACACTAAAAGCCCAGACATCACTACGCAATGTATCCATGTAACAAAAATGCATTTGTACTCCCCAAATCTATTCAAATAATAAAAAAGTAAAAAATAATTATAAAATTTTTGGTCAGCCCTTGACAGAATAAAATATCACTCTCTTGCCCAATTCTAGTTTTTCTATATCAACTTGCAGCGGTAAATTATTTAAAAAATCACTCTCTAGTAAATTAGGAACCACATTTCATGAAAATCTAATTTGTCATGTTAATATACATCTAACAGCAGCAAAGCTCTAACAAGAACCTTTCTTAGTGTGTCATATATTGAATAAAAACTGGTGTAATCCTGGCACTGTCAGATCCAATGATAATGAACCAGAGTTTCTTTCACTGCCTCAACATGGAATCAAGAGTGTAAAGAGACTCTGTCACCGAGAAGCAAAAGACTCTCTAAAGGACAACGAACTAAAATGCTGTTAGGCTGGTTTCTCTTTTCAGCATATCTGCCCTACATTTCATTTGCATTTTGTAAAGTGATAAAACACACTAATTGGAAAACAAAGCTTGGCTAAAAAGTTTATTTCTGTTATGCTGCCTCTACATTTTAATGCTACTTTGAAATGTTCATTTATATTCCTTAAATTTTCACTTCTGATTCTTTAGACAAATTTATGCAGATAATCTTAAAACTGCATTATTTAAAAATATTTTTATAACTTAACTTATAACTTCATTTGACATTTTTTCCTTTATTCAGCGGAAAAGAATTGAGGAAATACCCTTGGTATATATAATGATGTATATAAGCTATTCAAATTATAATTTTCTACTTAAATTTAAATTTCATATACAGTTTTTAACTCAATATTGTCTTTTCTTTTCCAAAACAGAGTTCAAGATCGTATTTCTTTACTCTCGCCCCCTTGATTCCCACCCTGCTGGTTATGTATTTTAATAAGGAAATATAGGATTTTTATTTCCTACATAATTTTGTTTGGTGTGTGGCCAGTGCTGACAACAGCATTTTGAACTACTCAAGACATGTTAAGAAAGAGCTGTAATTCTAAGTAAGCTTTTTTTGCTTATTGAGTAAGAAAACCTGGCAATATTTACCCAAGTATGTAGTTTACAGTAGCTTTTTTGTTGTTTTTTCAAAGTGCTCTCTACAGAGCCAGAGGCATTCTCTAGAGTCAGTGAAGGGCCAGCAAAGGCAGATATGGGAGATAACAGTAGGCTATAACTTTTATAACCTTCAACCAGAACAGCAATTTTGATTCATATGGTGGGCTTCCATAAAAGGTTTCTTCTGAATAAAGATTCTATGGTTAAAATACTTTGAAATCAATGATCTAGGCCTTATTTATCATCTCTGCTGCTTTGAAGTAGGGGAATGAGAAAAATAGGTTTCTATTTCGTATCTTTTAGAGCAGGGAAAATTCAAAAAGAAAATGCGTTGAGAGTCAGTTTGTACACAGCATTGTCACTTCTTGAATTGATGACAGTCATACACATGAGAAATTTTTCTAATGTCCACTTTTGGGGCTGTTAGATGAGAAGTGGGTAAAATTTATTACTAGATACCTGAGATGACATAAAATCATTAGTTCCTCTTGTCTCAGTCATTTAAGGAACAGCAGAAAAAAATAGTTAGAAAATATCTGACTCTGCATGAGACTAGGCTTATTCTCATTTATTTGGCAACTTACCCTTAGCATTTTTCATATAATCCATTTCATTTCTGTATGCATAAAAAAATCCCTGAAATACTGACTGGTTAAAGATTATTGGTTTTGATTGCAATGTGTAAGCCAGAAAACAGCTTCTCCTCTGTGTTTTGGTGATTAGGAAATAAAAAATTCATTGCAAGAGGTAAGTGTGGTGATCAAAGGTTACTTATGGGCTAAACAACCTGCACAAAGTAGATGAAAAAAATTCTGCCTATCATACCATACTTAAGCTTTAACAAGAAAAGAAGGGAACCAGATATTGGCTCATAGAATTAATGATTTATATCTGAAAAAAGTTTTTCTCAAAGAGCATTTCATGAAATAGTCTTGCAAGAAGCTCTTTAGTCAATAGGTCAATGAATGTAGGAAATGTATTCTCTTTTTGAAAAGCTACACAAAGAATGTAACCGTCTAATAGCTGTATGGTTAAGGAACTTAATTTCTTTAGTCCAATGTTTCCCCAAATTTATTTTGCTGACAAACTCCCTTTTCAAGAACATATTACTATCTTACAGACCTTTTCTGGAAAATTGAGACCAGAGATCTGAGAATAGAGGCTTCTTAACAAAGGCAAGTATATCTGGTTTCTAAGTAAAATATCTGGAAAAAACAAAAGGATAACCCAGAAACTCCATATACAGAGCTCAGAGAAAGGTATAAAGAATTAAGTAAAAAGATCTTAGCTATGGCTTTTTTCCCGTAGATGTCCAGATTCCTGCTCTTATTGAGAATATTCTTTGTGTTGCTATCATCATGAATATCATTACCATATAACAATGACAGCGGCCACTGCAGCAGCAATGCAAAGTTCTTATCAGTAGGTACTACTACTCTCATTTTATAGATGAGGAGACTAAGTCTTAATACACCAAAGGTCATATGGCTAATAAGTGATTTCAGATGGGATTAAAATATTTAGCAGCCTGAGCTTTTAATACTTATGCTTTCTATATCTAATATAGAAGGAAATGGCAGTTTGGATACATCTTAATCGTTTTCCATGCATAAGATTAATATACAATGGAAATATATACTATGAATGTTATACTTCACTTTGAAAACAACCCTAGGTATTAGGTTTTTATTGCTGGGTAACAAACTACCACAAACTTAACTTTAAAACGACACCCAATTCCATAGGTCAAAAGTGCAGGCAGGCATGGCTGGTACTCTTTTTAGACTCTAATAAAGCTGAAACCAAGGTGTCAGCTGGTCTGGGCTCTTATCTAGGGACTATGTGGTATAGAATCTATTTCAAGCCTCATTCAGGTTTTTGGCAGAATCTAGTTTAGCGTGGATGTAGGACTGAGGTCCCTGTTTCCTTGCTGGCTGGCTGCTGGGAGTCATTCTCAGCTTCTGGAGGCCACCCATATTTCTTAGATCACTGCCCCCTCCGTTTTCAAAGCCAATAGCACATTAAATCCTTCTTATGTTTCAAATCTCCCTGACACCCTCTTTTCCCCTCCTCTTCTGCTAAATCTGAAGAAAGTTCTTGGTTTTTAAGGACTTAGGTGATTAGGTTAAGTTTACCCAGATAATCTATTTTAAGTAAATTGATTCTGTAAAATCATTTCGGCAGTACCTAGATTAGCATTTGACTGAATTAACAAGGAATAACAATTTTGGAAGCGGGGGCATCTTCAGAATCTTGCCTACCTCACCATGCTTGGGGGAGATTAAAAAAAAAAAACTTTTACTTTCTATTAGCCACTAATAGTTTTAGAAGTTTATTCAGAATTTTTACTTTTGTGGTTAGAGAGTGACATGGAAATACTGAGACTTAAGTGTTTCGTGTGTGTATATGTGCGCACATTTGCTAATAAAAACCCAGAACTTTATGTTGTTTCTTTGAAGCCATGAATATAAACGAGTATACAACTAACTCAGAAATTCAGTTAAATGAATGTCATTTTGATTGGACTGTTACAAAATGAAGAAAAATCACAATGGCAGTAGAAATTAATACCCGAATTATAGACTTTTTAAAAAAGAAAAGTGTATTATTTTTATTTACTTTTTTTTTCTTTTTTTTTTTTCGAGACCGAGTGTCACTCTGTTGCCCAGGCTGGGGTGCAGTGGCGTGATTTTGGCTCATTGCAACCTCTGCCTCCCAGGTTCAAGCAGTTGTCATGCCTCAGCCACCTGAGTAGCCAGGACTACTGGCGTGAGCCACCACGCCCAGCTAATTTTTGTATTTTTAGTAGAGATGGGGTTTCACCTTATTGGCCAGGCTGGTCTCGAACTCCTGAGCTCAGATGATCTACCTGCCTCGGCCTCCCAAAGTGCTGGGATTACTTATTTACTTCTTTGAGGATGTAAAGAAGCAAATACCAGCTTAGCAGCACTGACCTCTGCATATCTTTTTTGCTATAGTTTTGAAGTATTTGAAAAAGTTGCATTCAAAATTAACAACTTTTGCAAATAACAGAAAACATAAGGGAATATTAATATTTTGATTATCTCAAATAATGTTCCTGTACAAGAAAACTACGTGATGTAAAAATATTTATTGTCCAAATGTATTTACATATTTAATTCAATTTAAATGAGTATCTCCTAAAACAATTCTTTTTGAACTAAAAGAAATGAGGAAAAATCAGAAATTAAACAATATTCAAAACTATATAGTAAATAAAACTGAACAAAGGAACAGAATACAGATAGCTTCAGCTCCATCTATAAACTTATCTGATAAGTTAGGTTCATTCATTCCCTAAATCACATATACACATAAACCTCAGGTAAATTGGTATTGAGTTACATATAATCTGAACACAAAGTATTTAATATACAGAGTTTATGCTAAAGAAAAAAAATAATGAAGTCAGCAGTAAAATGTTCTTTTAATCTTTTTTTTTTTTTTTTTTTTTTTTGAGACGGAGTCTCGCCTGTCGCCCAGGCCGGACTGCGGACTGCAGTGGCGCAATCTCGGCTCACTGCAAGCTCCGCTTCCCGGGTTCACGCCATTCTCCTGCCTCAGCCTCCCGAGTAGCTGGGACTACAGGCGCCCACCACCGCGCCCGGCTAATTTTTTGTATTTTTAGTAGAGACGGGGTTTCACCTTGTTAGCCAGGATGGTCTCAATCTCCTGACCTCATGATCCACCCGCCTCGGCCTCCCAAAGTGCTGGGATTACAGGCGTGAGCCACCGCGCCCGGCCATGTTCTTTTAATCTTTACAGCACTAAAATAAAACCACAAAACAATGGTTTGAATAAAAATATAAACAAACCCAATAAGAAAGTAAAAAACAAACTGAAAGCCATTAATACTAATCTATATTAGAAATCACAAAACAAATACAAACATGTATCTAAAGTCATAAATTGCAAAAACTATAAAATTTACATATACACAATCATCACACACCAGTGACAAAATGAAAAAGTTTCAGAGCTGTGCTGATCTATATTGTGTCTTTGCATCACAGAAGAAGAATTTAGAAGAAAAGGTACCCCCAGCTTCTTCAAATAAAAATGTTAAGTTAGTCTATTCTGTATAAACTAAAGAACTGTATGCAATGGCCCAAGTTGCCTGCCCAGAGAGGCTTTCCAGAGCCCATGAAGAAGCAACCTGGCTGTGCAAATGTGTGTCACACATACCCTGAACCTGTAAGTGCACACACTGCCAGCAACCTATGACATCCCAGTAAGATGAGCTTGTCAGGGTCAGAGTAGGAGGTGAGCAAACACTGGGCATCCTAGAGCAGCAAGTAGGTCAGGGAGATGTCCCCTGGGATGCACAATATGGCTGGGAAAGAGGAAGCAATGCTATGAGTATTTGGGTAATAAATGATGATGGTCTTTTTTGTTGCTCCAGGGCTGGGTTAGGAGGCAGGACCACCATTTGTTCTTATTTAAGTCAGTATAAACATCTACCCATGTGAATGGCTTACTCCTTGGATGTGGCTAACTTGTGTGGTGTGGAGTCTGAATACTATTAGTGGCAACCTTTTAAATTACTTTTAAATCAAAATGAAAATATTTAGTAAGAACTATGAAACATTCATAGTCTTTGAACTGCAATGTTACTATAAATTTTCTCTTAAGGATAACATGATAGAAACAAAGACATGAAGCATGAACTTGATTATACAGCCATTAAAAATAAACATGAAGACCACACTAGATACAGAATGTTTACCCTGACAGTAAAAACAGAATATAAATATACAGATTTTGAAAGCAGCAATGTAAAAACATATAAGAAAATAGAAGATAATAGTAATTCTGAGATAGTAAAATCATTACAGAATATTTTTTAAATTCTATAATTTTTAAAATAAAAATCAAGTTGTTATTCTTAAATGCTTAAATACTTCTTATTTATTTGTTAAAAATCCTTTTTCCAGTTAGCAAAGATAAATTTTTGATTAGATGTTAATCATAAATTCAAACTAATGTGATTTTAATATATGTCAGTGATTTACTTGTGAAAGTGTATATACTTAATGAAACATTTGGCTTTCAAGTTTTAACAAGGCTATTTGTACAGGGTGTCCACTCCTATGTTCCTAAAAGTAGAGAATATATAATATTACTTACAAGTGTGGGAAGCCAGTATCAGAACTTCTATTTATCTGTGATTTTAATTTCTGAAAGAAATGAAGCTGTACTGATATTTAATACATGAAATGACACTTCAGACCCTGTGATGATTAATATTATGCATCAACCTGACTAGGCCATAGTACCTAGATATTTGATCAAATACCTGTTTAGATGTCGTTGTGAAGGCACTTAGATGAAATTAACTTTAAATTAGCAGACTTTGAGTAAAGCAGACTACTCTCTACAATGTGGGTGGGCCTCATCCAATCAGTTGAAGGCCTTAATAGAAAAAGACTGAGTTTGCTCCCAGAAAGGAAATTCAGCCTCCAGATTCAAGCTGCAATATCAACTTTTCCATGGGTGTCCAGCCTACTAGCCTGCCCTGCAGATTTTGGACCTGCCAGCCCCCACGATTCATGTGCATCAGTTCCTTAAAATAAGTTTCTATCTCTATATATACAGTTATGAGCCACATAACAACGTTTTCAGTCAATAATGGATGGCATATATGATGGTGGTCTCATAAACATAATGGAGCTGAAAACTTCCTATTGCCTAGTGATGATTTAGTGCAATGCATTACTAACATTTGCGGAGTTGCTGGTATAAACAATTCTGCATTGCCAGTCTTGGAAAAGTAAAGCACACAGAATTATGTACAGTATATAATACCTGATACTGATAATAATTATTGGTTATGTATTTACTACACTTTTGTTATATTAGTGTATTCCTTCAGGCAGGTCCCTCAGGAGGTATTCCATAAGTATTGTTGCCATGGGAGATGAGAGCTCCTTTGCCAGTAATGACCTGCCAGTGGGACAAAATTTGGAAGTGGAAGACAGTGATATTAATGGTCCCGACCCTGTGTAGGTCTAGACTAACAAATGTGTTTGTGTCTTAGCTTTTACCAAAAAAGTTTAAAAAGTAAAAAAAACAAAATTTAAAAGCTTATAGAATAAGAATATAAAGGAAGAAATTATTTTTTACAATGTGTGTTTTCAGCTAAGTGTTACTGCAAAGGAGTCAAAAAGTTAAAAATATTAAAAAATTTATAAAGCAAAACAGAGTAAGCTACGATTGATTTTACTGAAAATGAAACTTAAAAAGTAAATATAGTATAGCTTAAGTGCACAGTGTTTATAAAGTCTATAGTAGTATACAGTAATGTTATAGGCCTTCACATTCACTCACCACTCATTCACTCTCACCCAGAGCAACTTCTAGTCCCGTAAGTTCCATTCGTGGTAAGTGCACTATACAGGTATACCATTTTTAATCTTTTATAATCATATTTCTATGGTGCCTTTTCTATGTTTAGATACACAAATACCATTGTTACAACTGCCTTCAGTATTCAGTACAAAACATGCTTTGCAGGTTTGTAGCCTAGGAGCAAATGACTATACCATATAGCCTACAGGTATGTATAGGCTATACCATCTAGGTTTGTGAAAGTACACTCTATGTTCACACAACGATTGACTAATGACACATTTCTCAGAATGCATCCCTGTTGTTAAGTGACACATGGCTATATATATATACCCATTCTATTCTGTTCTGTTCCTCTGGAGAACCCTAATACACAACCCTACACAGACAACCCTGTTATCTGATGGTTGAGCTTTCTGTTTGTTAAGGAGGAATAACAATGGCATCCCTGCTATTCGTTCCCTTATTGCATCCTGCGACTGTATTGAGTTTTCTTGCTCTTAGTTAAGTGCATACAGTGAATTATTGACTTAATTAAACTAAGTCTCACAAAGGAGTAGCTCATCAAGATTCTTTGCAAAAAAAACTAAAACTAATACAAATGCAAGAAAAAAAGTCAACAGATTTGCCAGGCGCCGTGGCTCACGCCTGTAATCCCAGCACTTTGGGAGGCCGAGGCGGGTGGATCACGAGGTCAGGGGTCAGGAGATCGAGACCATCCAGGCTAACACGGTGAAACCCCATCTCTACTAAAAAAATACAAAAAAATTAGCCGGGCATGGTGGCGGGCGCTTGTAGTCCCAGCTACTCGGGAGGCTGGGACAGGAGAATGGCGTGAACCGGGGAGGCGGAGCTTGCAGTGAGCCGAGATTATGCCACTGCACTCCAGCCTGGGGTGACAGAGCAAGACTCTGTCTCAAAAAAAAAAAAAAAAAAAAAAAGTCAACAGATTTGATACTTCTCTTCCTAGTAAAAACACTCTTTGCAATAGTGAGGCAAAAAGTGACTAAATCAGATCCTGACAAAAGCTGGAAAAAACTATAAAAAAGGCTAACGTAAATACAGATTTACATTTGCTCATATCATTGCCCTAAGTGATTATGTCTTGAGATATGGGTGTACAACACAGGTGAGTTATAATAATATTTTAAAATATTATTTCCTTCAATTATTTCATCTCTTATTTATAGCACAAATAACTTGCTGGCAACCTATACTGCAGTAGTTTTTGACAACTAAATTTTGTGGTAGGACATGTTTCTTTAACAAAGGGGAAGTATCTAGTGCTTAAGAATACATTTTATATTTCATAGAAATTTCTTATGATTTAATACACTTATCAGTCTTCTTAAAAATGACTTAGTGAGCTGAGTGTGGTGGCATGCACCTGTAGTCCCAGTTACTTGAGAGGCTGAGGTGGGAAGATTGTTTGAGCCCAGCCTGGTCAATACTGTCAGACCCCATCTCAAGACAACAGAATTTCTTGATAATAGGAGTATACATCATGACCGTTAGTGATTTTTATAGACATATAGGAGTTGGCTTCTACAATAAATATGGCTGTTTTTGGAATTATTTATTGCTTTTCTCTAAAACAGTTGGTCCCTTGACTCACTGTCACATTTTCTTATTAATAAATCTGATCCTTCTGTCTTCTTGAGGTTTCTAATCTGCTATGCTTGAAAAATTCTCTCCTCTTCATTAAATATAAGTCAGCTAAAAGTGGACCTACTGTCTGATGCAAACTAGGGTAAGGAACTAAATAGTACAGCCATTAGATTACGAACATCTTCTGAAGATATAAAGTCCCCTTTTTAAAAAAACCTTTTCCCGAATAGTCTACTCCCTAACATTTTAATCCTTTGTTTTTCTCCTTGGGATCATCCATAATGTTTTCATCTGTTGTATTTATGATTCCATCCTATTCTAAATACTTTGGGTCACATCGTTGTACTAAATGGTAAACAATTGAAAAGAGGCCAGGTACAGCGGCTCAGGCCTTTAATCCAAGAACGTTGGGAGGCTGAGGCAGGGTGGATCATTTGAGCTCAGGAGTTCCAGACCAGGCTGGGCAACATTGGTGAAGCCCTGTCTCTACAAAAAATAAAAAATTAGGTGGGCATGGTGGCACATGCCTGTAGTTCAAGATACTTGGGAGGCTGAGGCAGGAGAATTGTTTGAGCCCAGCAGGTGGAGGTTGTGGTAAGCTAGGATCACGCCACTGCACTCCAGCCTGGGCGACAGGAATGAGACTGTTTTTTGTTTTGAGACAAACAAAACATGGAAAACATGGAAGAGATCTTCTAGGGGTAAAAAGAAAACAGAGGATTATTAATTTTCCCTGTTTCAAACCTCAATGTTGTCATCTCCATATTATAACGTTAGAGTTAACTTAATCATGAGATTGGCACTATTGGGCATTCGGAAATTAACTCTATGGTCCCTTCTCACAGAGAATTTATTCATTCACTCAATTATTGGATTGCATTATATACAAGGCTACTGGTGCCAGGCCTTGAGACGTAGAAAATAATATAGTTCTAACATGTTTTCATGGAGCTTTACAATCTAATACAATGGTATGGAAAATTAAAATGCTCCTTGGGCCAGTTATTAAGTGAAGAATTAATGGTTTTAGAATTCTCTAACCTGGGCTGGATATGGTGGCTCATGCCTGTAATCTCAGCACTTTGGGAGGCCAAGGTGGGTGGATCACCTGAGGTCAGGAATTTGAGACCAGCCTGGCCAACATGGGGAAACCCTGTCTCTACTAAAGATACAAAAATTAGCAGGGTGTGGTGGAAGACACCTGTAATCCCAGCTACTCTGGAGGCTGAGGCAGGAGAATCGCTTGAACCCAGGACGTGGAGGTTGTAGTGAGCTGAGATCATGCCACTGTACTCCAGCCTGGGCGACAGCGTGAGACTCCAAAAAAAAAAAGGGGGTGGGGGCTAGAATTCTCTAACCCTTTCTTAAGTTCTCAGCCACTATGACAGCTGATGAAACTCTGGCATCACACTACTTGACTTCAAACTATACTACAGGGCTACAGTATCCAAAACAGCATGGCACTGGTTTAAAAAAATACATATATATAGGCCAATGGAACAGAATAGAGAATCCCGAAATAAGATCACACACCTACAAGCATCTGATCTTCGACAAAACTCAAAGAAACAAGCAATGGAGAAAGAATTCTCTATTCAATAAATGGTGCCAGGATAACTGGTTAGTTATAGTCAGAAGTTTGAAACTGGATCCCTTCCTTAAGCCATACACAAAAATAAAATCAAGATGGATTAAAGACTTACAGATACAACTCAAAAGTATAAATCCCTGAAAGACAACCTCGGCAATACCATTCAGGACATAAGCAAAGGCAAATACTTCGTGATGAAGATGCTAAAAGCAGTTGCACAAAAGCAAAAATTGACAAATGAAATCTAATTAAAATAAAGAGCTTCTGCATAGCAAAAGAAACTGTCAACAGAGTGAACAGACAACGTACAGAATGGGAGAAAATTTTTGTAAGTTATGTATCTGACAAAGGTCTAGTATCCAGCATCTACAACGAACTTAAACAAATTTACAAGAAAAAAAACAACTCCATTAAAAAGTGGGCAAAGGACATGAACACTTTTCTAAAGATGACATACACACAGCCAAGAATCATATGAAGAAAAGCTTGATATCACTTATCATTAGAGAAATGCAAATGAAAACCGCAATGAGATACCATCTCACGTCGGTCAGATGTCAAAAAATAACAGATGCTAGCAAGGTTGTGGGGAAAAAGGAATGCTTACACACTCCTGGTGGGAGCGTAAACTAGTTCAACCATTGTGGAAGACAGTGTGGTGATTCCTCAATGAACAAAAGAAATAACTTTCCATCCCATTACTGGGCATATACCCAAAGAAATATAAATCATTCTATTATAAAGACACATGCACATGTATGTTCACTGCAGCACTATTCACAATAGCAAAGACATGGAATCAACCTAAATGCCCGTCAACAGTAGACTGGATAAAGAAAATGTGGTACATATACACCACGGAATACTATGCAGCTATAAAAAAATGAGATCATATCCTTTGCAGGGACAATGGCCATGGTGGCCATTATCCTCAGCAAACTAACGCAGGAACAGAAAACCAGATACCACATGTTCTCACTTATAGGTGGGAGCTAAATGAGAAAACATGGACACAGAGGGGGACAACCCACATTGAAACCTATTGGAGGGTGGGAAAATGGAGAGGATCAAGAAAAATAACTAATGGGTACTAGGCTTAATACCTGGGTGATGAAATAATCTGTACAACAAACCCCCATGACACAAGTTTACCTATGTAACAAACCTACACTTGTACCCCTGAATTTAAAAGTTAAAAAAAAAATCTGGCATTTGGACATGGGTTCTCCTGTGTTTTTATGATAAAGTTTAATGATAGGATACTGTGAATTCTATTTGTATTCAACCTGGAGTTAATCCATAACAGTACAAAGATCTTTGGGGGGTAGGCTTTTCCTCAAGAATGATTCTTAAACAAATACTGCTTAAAGGCTTAGAGAGTGACTGAGTACTTCACTCTGAAGTACTTGACCACTCTACACTCATATTTACAGCTGAAAGTTCTGTGTTTTAACCACTATCAAATTAACACAGGTAACAATATTTCTTTGGAGTCCAAAACCACTGCTTTGGAGAACTGAGGTGGGAAAATAATCCAGATGGCTAAAGTTCTTCAAAAATTTATATATTTTTCTTTTTTGAGACAGGGTCTCTCTCTGTCACCTAGGCTCGAGTGCAGTGGCACAATCACAGCTGACTGCAACCTTGACCTCTCGGGCTTAAGTGATCCTCCCGCCTCAGTCTCCCAAGTAGCTAGGACAGAGGTGCGTAGCACCGTGCCCCACTAATTTTTATATTTATTGTAGAGATGGGGTTTTGCCATGTTGTCCAGGCTGGTCTCAAACTCCTGGACTCAAGTGATCCGCTTGCCTTGACCTCTAAAACTGCTGGGATTACAGGTGTGAGCCACCAGCCCTGGCCTAAAAATTTCTGTATTTCAAAGATGGCTTCCACCTGTAGTTCACATTTCATCTTTGGTTAGATTTAAAATTAACGCTATACTCTTAATTTTAAAATTTTAAAATTGGCATTCTCAGTCGGGCACAGTGGCTTATGCCTTAAACCCAGCACTTTGGGTGGCTAATATGGGAGGATCACTTGAGGCCAGGAGTTCGAGACCAACCTAGGCAACACAGCAAGACCCCCCATCTCTCTCTTTTTTTTGAGATAGAGTCTCTCTCTGTCACCAGGCTGGAGTGCAGTGGTGCAATCTCAGCTCACTGCAACCTCTGCCTCCTGGGTTCAAGGGATTCTCGTGCCTCAGCCTCCCAAGTAGCTGGGATTACAGGCACACGCCACCATACCCAGCTAATTTTTGTATTTTTAGTGAAGACAGGGTTTCGCCATGTTGGCCAGGATGGTCTCAATCTCCTGAACTTGTGATCCGCCCGCCTAGGCCTCCCAAAGTGCTGGGATTGCAGGCGTGAGCCTCCATGCCTGGTGTCCCGTCTCATTCATATATATATATATTTCATATATATACATATATTCATATATATATCATATATACATATATTCATATATATATTTCATACATACATATATTCATATATATTTCATATATACATATATTCATATATATTTCATATATACATATATTCATATATATTTCATATATACATATATTCATATATATATTTCATATATATTCATTCATATATATACTTATTTATATATTTATTCATATATATATATTTATCTATATACATATATTTGCTACTTGGGAGGTTGAGGGGAAGGACTGCATGAGCCCAGGAGTCCACTATGATGAGCTATGATTGCACCACTTCACTCCAGCCTGGGCAACACAGCAAGACCCTGTCTCTTAAAACAAAATACCTAAAAAACTCATGATATTCTCCAGAAATAAAGCAATTACCCTCTAACATTCTATATTAGATTATTCAACTATATACTAACTATTTACATGCCAGGCATTCCACAGGTTTCAATAATACAGTGATAAAGAAGACAAAGCTATTATCCTTAAATACACACAGCTAAAATATAATTTAGGTAATTGCTATATAAATAAAATGCTTTATGAATTATTTTTACATGCTTTTCTGTATAGAGAGCTGAACTGAGGAAGAATGTGAACCATACACAATATAATAAATGTATAATACTACTGAGGACTGTAATTTAAAAAACAAAGAATAAGATTTGAGATTAAATGTCTATATATTTTTCCATATACAGTTGCTCAATACCAGGAATTTGGCTATTATCCACATAGTAAGAATAAGCTTACAATGGAATATATTATAAAACTTGGAATAGGGAAACATCTCAGAATTCTGTGCAACATTACAACTAAAGAAGCCACCTCTGCCTTTGGCCGACCCACAGCTAGGTAATCTCCCCAGGCCAAGTGAAACAGGGAGAGTGAAAAAGAGCCAGGGAAGGAAGGGCGTGAGTTCTAGTGGCCACCTGCCTGCGGCTACACAGCAGTTGCCTGGTAAAATGAAAGAAGTCAGGAAGGGAGTTGGGTGCAACCCAAGAAGAGGGCTCTTCTACAGAGTTTCAGTTTCTGTTGTACCTCTTTAAATAGCAGCTGCCCCATAAACTTCATGGTAGAAGGTTTAGAAAGCCAAAGACTCAACCTCCATTCTCCACTATAGGTCCCAAACATAGACTCTGCCCAGGCCTGAATACTACATCTCGAAAGTGTTTAAAAATTTCCTTTGTTTTCCAATTAGCAGCAGACTTCATACTAATCCCTGCTTTTCTTACCTGCTTTTTTTCCTCCTCTCAAGATGCTTTCAAACAATGTTACTGCTATACTTTCTCAAAAGAATGCGATTGTAAACAAACTGGGGAAGACATTAAATACCAGATGAAGGAATTTAAAAATTGGGCTCTGTTTTCCCCTGCATATGCCATTGTCAATTATACGTTTTTGTAATGTCCATCATTTGATACAAATTACTGGAAAACTGAAACACAATACAGCCAAAATGTTTCAACATCTCCAAAGGACTGCACTAGCTCCCTAGCAATGGATCCTAACCTGAATGAAATGAAAATTAAAATAGTGTCAGGGATAAGAAGCTTAGTTGTCAATCTTAATACAATTGAGACAAAGATAAAATTCATTCAGCTTGCTTAAAACAGTGAATTTTCAACCTCTCAATTTTGTAATCACTGGACACGTAATTGAAAAGCTAAAAATTCAATCGTGTACTCAATTTTATGAATATTAAAGAACATGTATAACTACTGAAAATATATTGTTACTAATTCTGTTCAAAGCATGAGGCATAATTAATAATTTTCTATTTCTCAAGGAAATGGAATTAAAAGTCTTCTTATAACTGTCCAACTTCTGAATTTCATATTACTCTTATAAAAATTTTCAGGAATTCTTTATGATACAAAACTACCCATACGTGAAGAAGTTATGGTGTCTATAGGTACAATGCCACTTAGTATGCTGACAGTCTAAGTAAAATTATTTTCTTACTATAGTAATAGGATAGGATTTTGCATGTGTCAAAACTTTTGGATAATGTTCCTGAATGGATAAATCATAAAACATGGAATAATATTCTAAAAAGCACAAGACTTTTCTAAACTCTGCAGAAAAGAACTATATTTAAATAAAATGCCTATCAGTTAGCTTGTTTACCAAATACAGTTAATATTTAAAAGCAAAACATGAAAAATTATGGCTTTGCTTTAGAACAGGGGTCCCCAACCTCTGGGCTGCAAACTGGTATTGGTCCGTGGCCTGTTAGGAACCGGGCTGCATAGCAGGAGGTGAGCGGCCAGTAAGCATTACCACCTGAGCTCTGCCTTCTGTTAGATCAGCAGCAGCATTAGATTCTCATAGGAGCATGAACCCTACTGTGAAATGCACATGCAAAGGATCTAGGTGGAGTGCTCCTTATGAGAATCTAATGCCTGATGATCTGAGGTGGAAAAGTTTCATTCCGAAACCACCCTTCACCCCTGTCCATGGAAAAATTGTCTTCCACGAAACTGGTCTCTGGTGCCAAAAGGGTTGGGGACTGCTGCTCAAGAACACCTTACACTTGCAAACTACTATGTCTACTATTAAGCAACCAAGAGTTTTGTCTTTTTTCCCCAAAAATGGTGGATTAGAGGCTTTCAGCATTACCCATCCACTTGGAAATAGCAAAAATAGTGCGTAAAGATCAATATGTAACTTTAATTCAAGAAGGAAAATGGGAATTCACCAGACTAGTAAAGGATACCCTAGACCCTGGGGAGGAGAAGGCAAGCCAGCAATCCTCGTGAAGGTGTTTGGCTGGTTACATGAATGAAAGCCCCAGTATGTGAAAGGGGCAGTCTGTCTTCCTGTGTGTCTCACTTTTCTGCTAGTTATCTGTATAACCCAGGCAAAGGGAGAGCGCCCTGTTTCTCCCAAAACTGGGAGGTAGTGTGGGGAAAGGCTAAGAGATAGTGAGGGAAAGACACCAGGAAGCTGCAGGCATTTTCCCAGACCTAGGACTGAGAGGAGGACACCATTTCAAATTCAGGCTCACACAAAGTCAGTCACTGTTTGGCCACCTGGCAACAGCAGCCACTGCAGACATTTTAGTATCAGTCAGAGACTGGAGTGCTTGCTCTGGAGCAGGGAAAAGGCCCCCACAGCCAGAATCAGGCAGTGAGTGTGGAGAGTGCCCCAGCAGTAGTTGCTGGAATTAGGCTGTCTCCTGTTGCAAGACCGGAGTGGAAGGAGAGTTGCTGAAGCTGGTATTTCTCCTACGTGGTTTGACTTGCAGCCAGGGACAGCTTTGTGACCTGGAACAAGTCTGCATGGGTCACTGCTGGGTGTCCCGGGCTGCTTCCTTGGTTGGTTGCGGGACAGTAGCCCACCAGTCCAAAGACAGGGAGGGAAGCAGTCTCCAGTCCCCTGGAGATTTAACCTTCAGTGTGGACTGCCCCAACAGAAGGAGGAACGTGGCCTGCCAAAGCCTTCCTTGGGTCAAAGGAAACAAAAGTGAAGCACAAGCCACTGAAGGGGGCAACAGCAAAGCCAAGGAATGAATTCGGAGAGTGGGGGTAATCTCTCGCCCCCAGCCCCGCTCATTAGTGCACTGGGACGAATGCGGCAGCAGCTCTACATGCTGGGGACCAGAGCGTGTGGGCTGAGAGAGGTGCTGTGCAGGCCTCTCCAGCAGCTCCACTCCCGCTGAAGACCAGTGGCACTGGCGGGATAAGGATGCTTCTTTTGCCTCTGTCGCCTCCTGCTGGCTCTTACTCATAAGCGCCATCTACTGGACGGCAGCCTGAATTACACCACCAAACAAGAATACATCTCTACACCAAGCAACATCCGAGAAAGCCACTGTAGAAACTATCTGCAACCAAGGAACCCATAACACATGAATACACCCAGAAATGAAATCAAATGATCATATTCAACATACACCAGTCATATCAACGAAATAAAGCATAAAAATTAAAAAAAAAAACCATCCCAATGATAGCAAATTCAAAAAAAGCAGCACCAGTTTCCTCGGATGAGAAGGAACAAGCACAAGAACTTCGGCAATTATAGAAATCCAGTGTTCCATCACCTCCAAAGGATCACATGAGCTCCCTAGCAATGGATCCTAATCAGAATAAAATGACTGAAATGATACAGAATTCAGAATATGGATGGCAAGAAAACTCAACAAGATTCAAGAGAAAGTTGAAATTCAACAGAAAACAGAAAAATGATCCAGGAGTTGAAAGATAATATAACCATATTAAGAAAGAACCAACCAGAACATCTGGAATTAAAAAATTCACTAGAGGAATTTCAAAATACAGTTGGAAGCCTTAACAGACTAGACAAAGCAGAAGAAAGAATTTCAGAGCTCAAAGACTGGTTCTTCAAATCAACCCTGTCAAATAAAAATAAGAAGAAGAAAAGAACACAAAGCCTTGGGGAAATAAGGGATTATGTAAAGCGATCAAATCTACAACTTACTGGCATTCCTGAGAGAGAAGAGAAAACAAGCCACTTGGAAAACATACATGAGGACATAATTCATGAAAATTTCCCCCATCTTGGTAGAGAGGTTGACATACAGATGCAGAAATCCAGAGAAGTCCTGTGAGATACTAGACAAAATGACCATCCCCAAGGCACATAGTCACTAGACTATCCAAGGTCAAAGCAAAAGAAAAAATCTCAAAGATTACCTATAAAGGGAAACCCATCTGGCTAACAATAGATTTCTGAGGAGAAATCTTACAAGCCATAAGAGATTGGGCTCCCGCTCCCTGCCTTTTTAAAACAACATTCTTAAAAGAAAAGAAATGCCAGCGAAGAATTTCATATCCCACCAAACTAAGCTTCATATATGAAGGAGAAATAAAGTATTTTTCAGACAAGCAGTCGCTAAGAGAATTCACTGCCATCACAGGCCCTACAAGAGATACTTAAGGGAGTTCTAAACAAGGAAAAAGAACAATATTCCCTACTACAAAAGCATACATAAACACACAGCTCACAGATCCTATAAAGCAACTACGTAATTGAGACTACAAAGCAACTAATAACACTATGAAAGAAACACAACCTCTCATATCAATATTAACCTTGAATGTAACTGACCTAAATGCTCCATTAGAAAGACATAAGTTGGAAATTGGATTAAAAAAAAAAAAAAACCCACCCATCTTCTGTCTTTGAGAGACCCATCTCACATGTAATACACAGTCTCAAAGTAAAGGGATAGAGAAAGATCTATTGCATAAATGGAATATAAAAAAAAACAGGGGTCACTATTCTTTTATCAGATAAAACACAATTTAAACCAATAGTAACAAAGCACAGAGAAGGGCACTACATAATGATAAAGAGCTCAATTCCATGAGAAGACTGAACTACCCTAAATAATATAGCACCCAATGTTGGAGCATGCAGATTCATAAAATAATTACTTCTATAGTCAGGAAAAGACTCAGACAGCCACAGGGTAATAGTGGGGGACTTCACCTCATTCACAGCTTAGATCATTGAGGCAAAAAACTAAAATTCTGGACTTAAATTTGACACTTGACCAACTGGACCTAACAGACATCCACAGACAACTTCACCCAACAACCACATAAAACACATTCTTCTGTCATCTACACACAGAACGTAGTCTAAGATGGACCACATGCTCAGTTATAAAGCAAGTCTCAATAAATTTTAAAAAGGTCAAAGTCATATCAAGCATATTCTCATATCACAGAGGAATAAAAATAGAAATCAATATCAAGAGGAACTCTCAATACCACACAATTACATGGAAACTAAATTAACTTGCTCCTGAATGACTTTTGGGTAAACAATGAAATTAAGGCATAAATCAAAAACTATTTGAAACAAATGAAAATATAAACACAACATACCAAAACCTCTACAATGCAGCAAAAGCAGCATTAAGAGAAAAGTTTGTAGTGCTAAATGCCACACCAAGATAGGAAGGTCTCAAATTAACAATCTACTATTGTACCTAAAGAAACTGGAAAAACACAAACTGATTGCAATGCTAGCAGAAGAAAAAAGTAACTAAAATTAGAGCAGAAGTAAATGAAATCAAGAACAAAAAACCATACAAATGATCAATGTTAATAGCATAAACAAGATTGACAGACCACTAGTTAAACAAAGACCACTAGTTAAACAAACAACCAGAATATTCAAATAAGCAAAATCAGAAATGACAAGGTGACATGATACCAATCCCAAAGAAATACAAGAGATCCCTAGAGACTACTACGAACACCTCTATGCTCACAAAATAGAAATTCTAGAGGAAATTCCTAAAAACACACAATGTCCAAAGATTAAATTGGGAAGAAATTGAAACCCTGAAGAGACCAATGTGTTCCGAAATTGAATCAGTAATTAATAAAATCCAGACCAGAGGAATTCATAGCCGAATTCTACCAGAAGCACAAAAAATAACTGGTATCAATCCTATTGGAACTATCCCCCCAAAAAAATCGAGGAGGAGGAATTCGTTCCTAACTCATTCTATGAAACCAGTATCACCCTGATGCCAAATCTAGCAAAGACACAATGAAAAAACAACAATAAACTACAGCCAATATACTTGATGAACATGGATGAAAAAATCCACAGTAAAATACTAGCAAACCAAATCCAGCAGCACATCAGAAAGTTAATTCATGATTAAGTAGGCCTTATTCCTAGGTTGCAAGATTGATTCAACACATACAAATCAATAAAGTCATTCACCACATAAACAGAATTAAAAACCATATGATCATCTCACTAGATACAGAAAAAGCAATAGAAAAATCCAGCATTCCTTCATGATAAAAATCCTCAACAAACTAGGCATCTAAAGAATATACTTCAAAATAATAAGAGCCACCGATGACAAACCCACATCCAACATCATGCTGAACTGGCAAAAGCTGGTAGCATTCTACCTAAGAATTGCAACAAGACAAAATGTCCACTCTCATCACTCCTATTCAACATAGTTGAACATAAAATGATAATGAAGTCCTAGCCAGAGCAATCAAGAAAGAGAAATAAAAGGCATCCAAATAGGAAGAGAGGAAGTCAATTATCTCTCTTCACTGATGGTATGATTCTGTTCTTCAGAAAATTCTAGAGACTCCACCAAAAGTCTCCTAAACAGTCAGTGAAGTTTCAGGATACAAAATCAATGTATAAAAATCAGTAGTAAAAAAAAAAAAAAGAAATTTAAAAAATCAGTAGCATTTCTATACTATTTATAATGGCCATTCTACACCAGTAACACTCAAGCTAAGAACCAAATCAAGAATGCAGTCCCCTTTACAGTAGCTGTGTGCGTGTGTGCACGTGCGTGCACACACCCACACACCCACACACACACACAAATACCTAGGAATATATCCAACCAAGGAGGTGAAAGATCTCTGACAAAGAGAACTATAAAACTCTGCTAAAAAAAAAATTACAGGTGACATAAACAAATGGAAAAACATCCCATGCTCATGAACTGGATGAATCAGTATTGTTAAAATGTCCATACTGCCCAAGGCAATGTACAGATTCAATGCTCTTCCTATCAAATCACCAATGTTATTTTTCACAGAATTAAAAAAAAAACTATTCTAAAATTCACATGGAACCAAAAAAGAGCCCAAATAGCCAAAGCAATCCTCAGCCAAAGTTAAAAAGCTGGAGACATCACATTACCCAATTGCAAACTACAATACAAGGCTACAGTATGCAAAATAGCATGGCACTGGTACAAACACAGATACATACACTAATGGAACAGAATAAAGAACCCAGAAATAAAGCCACACACAAGGAGCTGATTTTCAAACAAGTCAATAAAAATAAGCAATGGGGAAAGAAGTCCCTATTTAATAAATGGTGCTGGGGAATCTGGCTACCCACATGCAGAAGAATGAAACTGGACCCTTACCTCTCAGCATATAGAAAAATTAATGCAAGATGGGTTAAAGGCTTACGTGAAGACCACAAACTATAAAAATGCTAGAATAAAATCTAGGAAACACTGTAGTGGACATTGGCCTAGGCAAAGAATATATGACTAAATCCTACAAAGCAATTGCTACAAAAACAAAAACTGACAAGTGGAACCTAATTAAACTAAAGAGCTTCTGCACCGCAAAAGAAACTATCAATAAACAGACAACCTAGAGAATAGGAGAAAATATTTGCAAACTATGGATCTGACAAAGCTGTAGTATCTAGAATCTATAAGAAACTTATATCAACAAGCAAAAAACAAATTACCCTATTAAAAAGTGGGCTAAGGACATGAACAGATATTTAATAGAAGACATACCTGTGGCTAACAAACGTTGAAAAAAATGTTCCACGTCACTAATCATCAGAAATGCAAATCAAAACCACAATGAGACACCGTCTCATATCAGTCAGAATGGCTATTATCAAAAAGCCAAAAAACAGATGTTGGCAGGGATACAGAGAAAAGGGAACACATACATTGTTGGTGGGAATGTAAATTAGTTTAGCCCACATGAAAAGTGGTTTGGAGTTTCTCAGAAAACTAAAACTAGAACTACCATTTGACCCATCAATCCCATTACTGAGTATATACCCAAAGGAAAATAAAAAATACCAAAAAGACAGCTGTACCCTTATGTTTATCACAGCACTATCTACAATAGCAAAGACACAAAATCAACCTAGGTGTCCATCAATAGTGGACTAAAGAAAATGTGATACATGTGTACCACAGAATACTATGCAGCCATAAAAAAGAAGAAAATCATGTCCTCTGCAGCAACATGATGCAGCTGGAGGCATGTTCTCACTTCCAAGTGGGAACTAAACACTGGGTACATAGGGACATAAAGATGAGAACAAGGCACTGGGGACTCCAAACGTAGAGGAGGGAGGTAGGAGGGTAAGGGATAAAAAACTTCCCATTAGGTACTCTATTCACTATCTGAGTGATGGTATCAAGAGAAGCCCAAACCTCAGTATCACGCAACATATCCTTGTAACAAGTACCCCTTGAATCTAAAAATAAAGCAACCAAGAGTAATAATACAGAAATATGTTGAATTAAATATAAACTTAGCCATCTGTAACTTTACATATATTTATCTGTCTTAATCTTGATGTTTAAAAAAACCTTACCCTTCTTTTATTACTTTCCATGTTACCTAGCTAGAAATACAGTAACACTCAGCAAATATTTTTTTGAATGACTGAAAATATATCATTCTATGTGCTGTCATAACCACATAAAACCAGTCTGGTTCAACTTTTATGTAAAAAAGCTGTGAGCTATTTTTCAGTTCCCATGGACCCTTAGGTCACATAACCTGATAAGCCCAGATCAACTAAGCATGCAATCACAGGGGGAATCTAAGTGCTAAGCGCTTAGACTAAGGAAAGAAGTGGATGCTGCATGGCAGTATCCGTGATCCAATCCGATTGAGGTCTGGTATCACCCATCACAGGATTCAGTCAGATGATGCCTCTGGTGTCACCTGACTGCAAGATCCAATCACATCTCACCTCATTACCCTGTGCTTATAAAACCTGACCCAGCCCCCAGCTCAGAGGGGCACTGCTTTGGGAACTCTTCCTGCTGTTCTCCTTACTTGTAATAAGTAACAAAATTCCCTTGATCTTTAGTTGTGGTCACTGGGTTGATAACCAGCAAGTGATCAAACCCACGGGTTGTGTGAGTAACATTCTGGTTGCTTGAGGCTACTTGGTACTGTCATGGATAAAGCAGAAAATTTTTCTGCTTTTCAATTATAGCTTTTCAGACTGAATAACTTTTCAATTCCAATAGTCTCTACCTTTTCTCTTCTTCTAAGCTCTCTCCATCCCCTAATTTTGTTAATACTGTGTATTAGCATTAAAAATGAATTTACCTTAGATATTCAAAAGATTAATATTTTTCACTATAGATTTACAGGTACAGAATAATATGTGCTATAGTCAAGTTAGGTAGAACTGATCTGAATTTCCCTCAAGGCATTACCCCTTAACCTTTCCCTATCACACTCCTCTTAAGAGTATCATTACTCTATAAACATCCCACTTGAACTTCAAATCATTGAAATTTAGATGTCACCCTTAACATTGCACAAATCCCTCTCAAGGTCAATGATGACTTAATCATTAAATCCAAGAACATCCTCTTAATCTGTATCCCACTGATGACTGACTTTCTGAACTGTTACGTTCACTGTGGCTTCATCATTGTTATACGTAAGCCTTCTCTAAAGTTCCACAGTTGAAGTTTCTCTCTTTCTATTTTATCATCTTTCTCCAGACTGATTCAGGTTATGTTCCAGATGACATGTGGTTCCACCAATCAAAATAATGCCAAATGTAGTAGAGACTTTTTTTTGAAACAGGGTCTCGCTCTGTCACTCAGGCTGGAGTGCAGTGGTGCAATCTTAGCTCACCACAGCCTCCGCCTCCTGAGCTCAAGTGATCCTCCCACCTCAGCGTCCCAAGTAACTGGGACTACAGGCACATGCCACCATGCTTGGCTATTTTTTGTATCTTTTTTAAAGGTGAGGTTTTGCATGCTGTCCTAGCTGGTCTCAAACTCCCGGCCTCAAGCGATCTGCCTGTCTCAACCTTCCAAAGTGCTAGAATTACAGGCATGCACCACTGCACCTGGACTGCAGTTGAGACTTCTGTAACTATTTTCTGATTTTTGAACGTGTTTCTTAGGTCCAGGCTCATATTTTCAACAACATGCAAGATAAATATTTTGGCAAAGGAGTCCTGGAAATACGTACAAATTCAATTTATCCCAAACCATACTAAACTTCCCATTCCTTAACTCTTTTTCTCATTTTTTACCCCATAATATGTTCTCTACCCCACAATATATCTTCTACTCTGTGAAATAACGCTAAGTTCAGCACAACCTTTGTATTTCCCTACCTCAACCAGGTATTACAACTCCGTAAAATCTCTTGTACTTATCTTCTTTCTGGATCTACCCAGAGTTCACAGTCTCATCTATTATTACTGTAATTGGTTTCTCCATTAAAGAGTATCTTTCAACCCATATAACAGTGTATGGATGCAGAGACCTCCTCTTAAAAATATATTGTTTCTTAAGATGTTAAGATGGCTTCACCTGTACTGCAGAAACACAGGATGAATTGCTTGGCATAATATTCAAAGCTCTTTATTATCTAAAACTCAGTCAGCTGTACTAGTCACTGTTTTCTGAAAATACAATGTATTTATGTACTTATACGTCTTTGTTAATCTTTTCTTTCTCACTGTTAAGCCCTCATTCCTTTGCGAGTCATCCTTCAAGGTTCACACCAAATATTAGCTCTGAGATAAATTCATCAAATCTTCCCATAAAAATTATCATTAATTCCTCTGCCTTCACAGCACATTCCCTTTTACTCCATTTATAACACTCTCTTGCTAGTTGCATTCATGGTCCACTGGACTATGAGATCACTGTAAATGTAAGAGGGTGCAAAAGAGGAAGAAACATGCTCTATTTATCTTTGTAACCCTTTATGACTAACCTATGTTAACAGCACATGCTTGCTGAACTTAACAAGTATTTACTGAGGGCCTAGTATGTGCTGCCAGTTTTCTAGGAGCTAAGTTATCCACAAGGCAGATGTGGACTTTACTTCCAGAGTTTACAATGTGTTCTAACAGGAAAGACAGACCATAAATAATTATAGTAAAATCTAAGAAAAGTTAGAATAAAAATAAAATGTGTTACAGCAGGGGTTTTCAAATGTTTTGGTCTCAGAACTCTTTTGTACTCTTAAAAATTACCAAATACCCAAAAAGAGCATTTGTTTATGCGGGCTAAATGTATTGCTATTTACCATATTAGAACGTATAGGTGAAATACTTTTAAAAAATGTATTAACTCATTGAAAATAGCAATGATAAAACCATCATATACGAACATAAATAATTTCTGTAAAAGAACTATGGTTTTCAAAACAAAAAATTTATCAATAAGAATGGCATTCATATTTTTGTAAATTTCTAGTGTATGGCTGGTATAGTTTGGATATTTGTCCCCATTCAAATCTCACGTTGAATTGTAATCCCCAATGCTGGAGGTGGGGCCTGGTAGGAGGTGTCTAGATCATGGGGGCAGACCCCTCATGAATTAATGCTATCACTGCAACAGTGAGTTCTTGTGAGACCTTGTGAGACCTTGTGAGTTCTTGTGTGTGGCAACTCCCCGAAGTCCCCCAAACTTGCTCCTGCTTTTACCATGTGACACGCAAGTTCCTGCTTCGCCTTCCGCTGTGAATAATAGCTTCCTGAGGCCTTCCCAGAAGCTGAGCAATGTTGATGTTATGCTTCTTATATAGCCTGCAGAACCATAAGCCAATTAAACCTCTTTTCTTGTAAATTATCCGGTCTCAGGTTATAGATAGCAATGTGAGAACAGCTTAACACAATGGCTAAACCGAAAATGGCTGGATAACTGTCATACCATCATGTTTTAGCATGTAGCAGAAGTACTTTTTCTGCGCTTCCCATTTCATCATGTAACACAAACACAATTACTCAAGAGTTTAGTTTAATAAAATTAATTTTTACTGCTTCATCCATGACATTTTTAAGTAAAACTGGCTTTAAAAGAAATTGCTAATGTATGAAGAATGCAATGACTATTACTATAGTTTGGTGCAACTGCCTTGATTTGTGCCAAGGTGCCAGCAGTTTTATCCACTGTTGCTTTTGAACTATCAGTACAAATTGCAACACAATAAAAAAGGCAAATAATGTTTTAGTATGAATATAAAAATTCTTTGCATTCACAGACCATTCTCTTCCTCCCCCAACTCTATGAAAGGGCTTCTGAGACTCCTAGGGATCCACAGAGCACACTGAGATTTGCTGTGCTAGAGAAGTATGCACCCTGTTGATAACAACTCTAGGAGTAAAGGAAGTTATCTATCAGAAAGTTTAATATTTGACACTATATCTAAGGACAAACAGGAAATTATCCTGGTGAAGGGAATAAGTAATGGGTTGTAAAAGGATGTTCTAGGCAGAAGGGAAACACTAGGCATGAGCTGGAATTTTGCAGGAGCAAAATGAAGTTCAATATTACTGAGTTATACAGTTAAAAATGTACTGAGAAATGAGGGAGGCATATTTATGTTATATTAAGGAACTTGAATTTTATCTCAAAGGCAAAGTGACATCACTAAAAAGTTTTAGTAAAAGAGCTGGCATTATTGGGTTTGTATTTCAAAGAAACTCTCAAGTTGAATTGTGAAAAACAGATTGGAGTAAAACTGGAAAAAGAGACTACTTAGTAAGAGATGAGATAGAGGTAGACAGACTAACACAAAATTGAGAATTTAGAATTGATAGTAGGACTTGGTGATTAACCAGATGTGCGAAGTAAAACAGCGGAAGGGGTCAAAAATAAATCTTAAAAGTTTCTGGCTTGGATATGTGTATGGATTTAATTAGAAATAGGGAACTCTGGAAGAGGAATCAATCTGAGTGGTTCAGGAGGTAGGAAAGGAGAGAAAATTAGCTCGCTTATGACACAAGGATATTTCACTGGCACAAAAACAAACAGAGAGGTCTAGTGGGCAACTAGATATATGGAGGTCAAGTCAGAGGTCTGAACTGAAGACAGAGATTTGGAATAATCAGCATATATGTGGAAACAAAGCTATAAGAGTTAATCAAGCCGCCATGTGCAGCTGCCATACGCTGAGTGTGAAGAGTAGAGAATCCAGGACCAACAATTAAGAGAGACACAGAGAAAGGGAAAATACTGTTATTATGAAACAAGTAGATGGACTTATTTTTAAAAAACAGGTTTTTATAGCACAAGAATTAAGATGAGGATTTTTAAAAGAAGATAACATCGCAGTGACAGAAGAAAGATAGGAAGGAGAATACAGAAGTTGATTGTCATTAACTACTAAATTGCCACTATTGCCACAAAATAAGCTAATACAGGCTCAGTACTAATCTGAAATGCTTAGGACCAGAAGTGTTTTGGGTTTTGGAATACTTGCATTATATTTATCTGAAGTGCTCCAATGAACACTTCCTTCAAGTAACATATTGGAGCTTCAACAGTTTGAGATTTTGGGGCAATTTTGATTCTGAATTTTCAGATTTGGAGTGCTCAACCTGTAGAACATACATCTGCCATGCCCATAAAATGAGTAATATTCACAGATATTTGCTCTGGTAAGGGTTTTAGCTTAAAACTCATTTGAAAATAGTCATTTGTTAGTTAAAACTAAACAGTGAAGACTCAATTCTCTAAATTATCTTTCTATAATTTTACATATAAGTCTAGTTAACCTTTTAAATTAAATTAGATTCAATTCTAGTTACTAAAATAATAAGTAAATCTTTACTAGTTAGGGACATAATATACAGAACTACATTAAGAATCTTATAAACAGGTTAACAGAATAAATTTTTTGAATGCTGTACCTCTGACTAAGGAAACACATTTACTTTATGAATTCCTCCAGACAATTTCTTTCAGTAGAAAATATTCCGCAATCATCATTTTCATTTATACAGTCACATTATAGAAACCTGGATCATGACATTCTTCTAAAAAATTTGCCAATTGAGCTGTTACTCAAATGATTTGAACCTTATAATCATCACTATTTTCATTCTCAATGCCTAGAGCTTTGGGTCATGATCAGAAAATGTAGAGCTTTAGGGTTTTTAAACATAGTAATTCCCCCCAAAAAACCAGCTAGACGATCATACAGTATTTCTTTTATAGAAGAAAAAGAGACTCAGAATGTTAGATATTTCCCCAAAGTTATTCCCTGAGCCAGTGCTAAAAATTAGGTAAGTAACTGTAAAGAAGCAACTGATAAGCACAGATCATTTGCACTCCATTTATTAATAAACTTCAATATAATTTTTTAAGTCTAGAAAATCTAAGGAGGGAAACTTAATTTTGAAATTGATAATAAGCATTCTTTCTGCATAAATAGCTTTAAAAACTAGATTATGCATTTTTTACAGAGGACTTAATATCTTAATATTAAATACTAAGCCTCCAGAGACATCTGGTATTTGTAATTATAAACTTATCCAATTAAGATTTCAGCAAAATACATGTAGGATTTAACTTTCAGGTTTCAATATATTTGTATATATATTTGATTAATATACAACGGATTTCAAACTAGAAGCAAAACTATTAAAAACCATCACTGAAATACTTACAATTTTGTATGTGTATATTATTGATGGCAGCGGTAGCCTGTCTGGAGTGGCTGCTGCAAAGACACTGGCTGCAGCAGGGGAGGTGTGGCCAGAGCTACACACTCCATGAAGCTGGCAGGATCCGGGAACAGGTGGAAGACCCTTCCTCTCCCAAGTTGGAAGGGAAAGAGCCCCACCCTCCTGGGCGCAGCTGTTCAGCTGCGGCTGCAGACCCGGGCATCCCTGCGCTCTTGGGGGCCTGGGAAGCTCCACTGCCCCGCAGGCTCAGAAGTGCCTGCTCCTGCCGCCCACTCCAATTTCAGAGCAAAGTTGTGGGCCGAGTCCAGGCATTGTTGTAACCTGGCTGGGTATGCATGTATAGTGCTGACACTCCAGCCCCCTGCCACCTTGGCCCCCTCCAGACTTTGGGCACTGACGAGCATAGGAGGGAGGCCAAGGGCAGCATAAGGGTAGCCTGGTGCAGGCACCCCTTGGCATGAATAGCCTGGGTGCCATGGATGACATGAAGCCCCACCTTCAAGCCAGGGACAGCTTGAAGACTCAACTCAGCCAGGGGGCTGACTTGTCAGTTCCAGATGGAGTCTACCACCCAGAATGAGAGGTTATGGTGCTTTTTCTGGGCCTGCCAATGGCCCAGTCAGCACACACTTCCTCCCTTCTGAGTCCATAAAAACCCTTGACTCAGCCAGACTCAAACAGACATTGGGACTACCAGCTGCGGTAAGGAGCTACCCAATTCAGGTCTCCTCGACTCATTGGGATGACATGCCTGCAAATAAGAGCTACTCACTCCGGGTCTCCCCTCCATGGAGGGTTACACTCAGGACTGCCTGCCTACAGAAACAAGTTACCAACTCTGGGTCTCCTCTCCGCTGAGAGCTGGACACTTGTCAGGACAACCTGCCTGCAGAGAAGCTACCACTTGGGTCTCCTGAGAGCTGTTCTGTCACTCAATAAAGCTCTTCTCCACCTTGCCCACCCTCCAGCTGTCTGTGTACATTTTTCCTGGATACGGGAAAAGAACTAGGGACCCACCCAATGACAGGACTGAAAGAGCTGAACAAAACAGGAGGCTGAAATGGCCCCCTACCCCGCTTGACACATTGCGGGCAACAAGGAGAGAAGAGCTGCGGCCCTTGGGGAGCCCAGACCAATTGGCTCCCTGAGCCAAGGCTGTGAAACCCTCTTTGGGGCTCTGTGGTTTCTGGTGTCTCCATGCTTCCAGGCACCACTGCATTCCCCTTGTTCAGACATGGATGCCCACAGCGGAAGCTGCTTGTGGTACACTGGATCCAGCAGCAGGCTTGTCTGGAGCTGCATGCCCCGCCACAGCAGCTGGCACGCCTGGCTGTGTGCAGTGGCCGGACCCCATGTTCACTCACACACCCCTTGCCACTCTGCACCTGGCTTGCCCTTGGCAGGCATGGGATCTGGGCTGGTAGCACAAGCTGATAACAACCTGCCAGGCTGAGTCAGCAGAATGAGCCCAGTGGGCTCAAGCAAAACTTGGACAAAGGCACCACCAGCCATAGGAATTTCTGGCTGGAAAAGTGACAGCCTAAGGATCCAAAGACATTATGTTAAAAAGACATTTCCAGGTGTAGTAGCTCACGCCTGTAATCCCAGCACTTTGGGAGGCCGAGGCAGGAGGATCATGAGGTCAGGAGATCGAGATCATCCTGGCCAACATGGTGAAACCCCATCTCTACTAAATATAAAAAAATTAGCTGGGTGTGGTGGCACGTGCCTGTAATCCCAGCTACTCAGGAGGCTGAGGCAGGAGAATAGCCTGAATCAGGGAGTCGGAGGTTGCAGTGAGCTGAGATCAAGCCACTGCACTCCAGCCTGCCAACAGAGCAAGACTCTGTCTTGAAAAACAACCAACGAACCAACCAACCAACAACAACAAAAAATTTAACTTCCTCCTTTACTACTGTAACATCTTTTTTTAAAAAAAAAAAAAAAAAAAAGAAAAGGACATTTAACTTCCTCCTTTACTAGTGTAACATCTTTTGCTCACTAGGATCACCTCCAATATTAAAAAGTCCAAGAAAATAAAAAGAATGTGAAAACTGAACAGAAATGAACTGCTAACTTAAAACAAAAACTCCTAAACCAGAGAGCATTAAAGAGGATATTAAAAAATCACGTTTAAACTGTTATAAACTGAACTAGCAAAAAAAGCATTAATATCTAATTCAGTCCTTTTTATTAGATAATTTCCTATTGTCATGCAGTATATTACTCTTTGTCACAAATCTTTTAAGAATATGTCCAATATTTTATATCTTAAGGCAGAATGGAGATAAGGCCTATAGTAAGACTCTTGGATTGGCAGTGACCATCTAATATGTTTTGTACTCTTTCCTTTGGCTGACTGCCACTACTCCTTCCCCTCTTCCTTTTTTCCAGTTAACAATCTCAAGTAGATTGTTATAAAAACATGACCCTGCTATTCTAAATATGTCCTTCCATCCTTTCCATCCTTCTTTCCTTTTGTCTGTCTCTTCCATTCTTTCACCTGAGAAGCATGTGTTAAAGCCCCTCCTTCAATAACTACATATATCAAGTATATCTTGAGTACTAAAGAACTCAAATTGGTAAATACTTAATATCCCCAAACAGATAATTCTAAAAAACAATAGCAAAAAAGGAAATAAAGAAATGATTCTATTCACAGCTATGTCTTAGTTGCCAAGAAGCTTAAAGTCAAAACTGTATTCCTATTTATAGCAAGGGTAATGGACATAAATGGCAGATGAGGATGAGTTTCTTTTCTCAAACTGACTACTGGTAATGCTTCTTAGAGCACTGTGCATAAAGCATTCTTAGGCCAAGCCCAGGCTCTGTAGGAATGATCCTATGATAAATTACCTATATTTATCATAGATTTTGGAAAGTATGATGATGACATGCATGCCATACTTCTGCCATGGCAAGTACTAGAATTTCGCAGAATGCATTTTACTTTTCTGACTTCCCACTATTTTCCTTCTATTTTACAAATTCGCTTTTCCTTGTTGTATTTTATGTATCCATTAGAAATGCACACTAATACAATGGTGTATTAGTCTGTTCTCATGCTGCTGATAAAGACATACCCCAGATGGGTCAATTTATAAAGGAAATAGGTTTAATTGACTCACAATTCAGCATGGCTGGGGAGGCCTCAGGAAACACAATCATAGCAGAAGGAGAAGCAAACACGTCCTTCCTCACATGGTGGCAGCAAGGAGAAGTGCAGAGCAAGGAGTTTTATAAGCCCATTAATAAAACCATCAGATCTTGTGAGAACTCACTCACTATCCTGAGAACAGCAGCATGGGGGTAATTGCCCCATTATTCAATTACCTTCCACCGGGTCCTTCCCACAACATGTGGGGATTATAGGAACTAGAATTCAAGATGAGATTTGGGTGGGGACAATGCCAGATCACATCATTTTACCCCAGCCCCTCCCAAATGTCATGTCCTCACATTTCAAGACACCATCATGCCTTCCCTACAGTTCCTCGAAGTCTTAACTCATTCTGTTATTAACCCAAAAGTCCAAGTCCAAGGTCTCATCTGAGACAAGGCAAGTCCCTTCTGCCTACGAGCTTGTAAAATAAATGCAAGTTAGTTACTTCCTAGATACAATGGGGGTACAGGCACTGGGTAAATACACCCATTCCAAATGGGAGAAATTGGCCAAAACAAAGGGGCTACAGGTTCCATATAAGTCCGAAATCCAATAGGGCAGTCATTAAACCTCCAAGTTCCAAAATGATCTCCTTGGACTCCATGTCTCACATCCAGGTCATGCTGCTGCAAGAGGTAGCCTCCCACAGCCTTGGGCAGCTCCACCCCTGTGGCTTTGCAGGGTACAGCCCCTCTCCTGGCTGCTTTCACAGGCTGGTGTTGAGTGTCTGTGGCTTTTCCAGGTGCACAATGCAAGCTGCTGGTGGATCTAACCATTCTAGGATCTGGAGGATGGTGGCTCTCTTCCTAAAACTCTGCTAGGCAGTGCCCCAGTAGGGACTCTGTGTGGAGGTTCCAAGACCACATTTCCCTTCCACACTGCCCTAGCAGAGGTTCTCCATGAGGGTTCCACCCCTGCAGAAAACTTCTGCCTGGACATTCAGATGTTTCATACATCCTCTGAAATCTAGGCAGAGGTTCCCAAACCTCAATTCTTCTATTCACACACTTTGTATGCACCCACAGGCTCAACACCATGTGGAAGCCTTCAAGTCTTGGGACTTGCACCCTCTGAAGCAATGGCCTGAGCTGTACCTTGGCCCCTTTTAGCCACAGCTGGAGCTGAAGCAGCTGGGATGCAGGGCACCATGTCTCAAGGCTGCACAGGGCAGGGGGGGCCCTGGGATCAGCCCATGAAACCATTTTTCCTCCCTAGGCTTCTAGGCCTGTGATGAGAGGGGCTGCTGTGAAGATCTCTGATGTGCCCTGGAGGCATTTTCCCCACTGTCTTGGTGATTCACATTTGGCTCCTCGTTACCTATGCAAATTTCTGTAGCCAGCTTGAATTTCTCCCCAGAAAACGGGTTTTTCTTTTCTATCATATCATCAGGCTGCAAATTTTCCAAACTTTTATGCTCTGCTTCCTCTTGAGCACTTTGCCACTTAGAAATTTCTTCCACCAGATACCTTAAATCATCTCTCTCAAGTTCAAAGTTCCACAGATCTCTGGGGCAGGAGCAAAATGCTGCCAGTCTCTTTGCATAGGATGAGTGACCCTTACTCCAGTTCCCAACTAGTTCCCCATCTCCATCTGAGGCCACCTCAGCCTCAGCCTGGACTTCATTGTCCATATCACCACCAGCATTTTGGTCAAAACCATTTGACAAGTCTTTAGGAAGTTCCAAACTTTCCCACATCTTCCTATCTTCTGAGCCCTTCAAGTCTCTTGGAAGTTCCAAGCATTCCCACATTTTACTGTCTTCTTCTGAGCCCTCCAAACTGTTCTGACGTCTGCCTGTTACCCAGTTCCAAAGTTGCTCCCACATTTTTGGGTATCTTTATAGCAACACCCCACTTTCTGTGGTACCAATTTACTGTATTAGTCCATTATCATACTACTAATAAAGACATACCCGAGACTGGGTAACTTATAAAGGAAAGAGGTTTAATTGACTCACAGTTCAGCATGGCTGGGAAAGCCTCAGGAAACTTACAATCATGGTGGAAGGGAAAGCAAACATGTCCTTCCTCACCTGGTGGCAGCAAGGAGAAGTGCTGAGCAAAAGGGGGAAAAGCCCCTTATAAAACTATGAGATCTTGTGAAAACTCACTTGGTATCATGAGAACAACGGCATGGGGGTAACCACCCCCATGATTTAATTACCTCCCACCAGGTCCCTTCTATGACATGTGGGGATTATGGGAACTACAATATAAGATGACATTTGGGTGAGGACACGGCCAAACCATATCAGATGGGATGCCATTTTATTCCATCATGTTAATAAAGAGTGAAAAAATGAAAATACTTAATGCTAGTGAGTTTTGGCAAAATGGGCATTTATATTGCTAGAGATAATGGAATTAGTATTATCTTTCTGGAAAGGAATTCAGTAATATGTACAAGAGCCCATTTATACTCTTCAACCTAAAACTCCACTTCTGGGAATCCATCCCAAAGACATGAAAACTCAAGCACAAAGATTTATTGCTGAAATAAAACAGCTGTGAGAAAGGAAACAACCTAAATGTCCAATGAAAGAACAATTCATATAAAGCAAGATTCTTTCTACCATACTGTCCTTCAAAAAAGAGAGCATCAGCTTATGTTTGAGCCGTACAAAGTCTCTATGCTATTCAGCCCTCTCAATTTTTTTACTTTGAACAATAAAGACTATTTTGGGGAAAACTAACACTGGCCTGAAAGGACTTCATACAGTGTAGCTTGGTTACTTACCTGGTAAGAAATCACTTGATAAACTTGGTTCCACCATATCTCCCTGCCCCCACACAGAGGCAAAGAAATTTAGTACCAATTTGGTAATTATACATTGAAGTACAGCTTTCCAATGGCAATTATTGGATGTTTTCTTTAAAAGATCATACTGGGCCAGGCACAGCGGCTCACTCCTGTAATCCCAGCACTTTGGAGGCCGAGGAAGGCAGATCACGAGGTCAGAAGTTCAAGACCAGCCTGGGCCAACATGGTGAAACCCCATCTCTACTAAAAATACAAAAAATTAGCTGAGCATGGTGGCATGCACCTGTAATCCCAGCTACTTGGGAGGCTGAGGCAGAAGAATTGCTTGAACCAGGACCTGGGAGGCAGAGGCTGCAGTAAGCCTAGAATGTGCCACTCTACTCCAGCCTGGGCTACAGAGCGAGACTCCATCTCAAAATAAATAAATAAATAAAAAATATAAGATCATATTATTCGTTTTTAAAAAGATCGTATTAAACAGCCGTATCATCAGGCAACTAGATAAATTCTCCAATGTCCTACTGGCCTTAGGTTTGTTTCCATCACCAGCAACCAAAGTGTAACTTAACCCCCAAATACAGATTCAGTCATTATCTAATAATCATGTTTATACAATCAGTCAGGAACAAGAAAATGTTAATTCACATTTGGAAATGGGAAAACTGGTTCAGTGTCTTAAACTTCATTCTCCTGGCCTCACAGAATGAGTTAGAAAGTGTTCCCTCTGATTCTGTTTTCAGGAACAGATTGTAGAGAACTGGTATTCTTCCTTCCTTAAATGTCTGGTATATTTCACCAGTGAAAACATCTGAGCCTGGTGCTTCCTGTTTTAAAAGGCAGTTAATTATTTCTTCAATTTCTGTAATAGATATAGGCTTTCCATATTATCTATATCTCCTTGTCTGAGTTTTAGTAGATTGTATCTTTCAAGGAACCAGTCTATTTCATCCAAGTTATCAAATATGTAGTCGTAGAATTGTTCATAATATTCCTTTTTATTCTTTTACTATTGATGGAATCAGTAATGGTGGGCTCTCTTTCATTTTTGGTATTTATTAGTAATTTGTATCCTATCTCTTTTCGTTGGTTAGCTTGGCTACAGGTCTATTAATTTTGTTGATCTTTTCAAATGAAACCTTTTGGTTTCACTGATTTTCTCTATTGTTTTTCTGTTTTCAATTTCATTAATTTCTGTTCTAATTTTTCTTTTCTTCTGCTTAGATTTAATTTGCTCTTACTTTTCTAGTTTCCAAAGATAGATGCTTATATTATTGATTTTGCACCTTCTTTTCTAACGTGCATTCAATGCTACATATTTCCCTCTAAGTACTGCTGTCAGAACATACTACAAATTTGATGAGGTATGTTTTCATTTTCAGTTAGTTCAAAAACATTTTCTAATTCTTCTGAGACTTACTTATCTGACCCTTGTGCTATTTAGAGGTGTGATGTTAGATCTACAAATATTTTGGGACTCTTCAGTTCTCTGTTACTGATTTCTAGTTTAATTCTGTTGTAGTGTGAGAGAAGGCATACTCTGTATAATGATCTATCTTTTTAAATTGGTTAAGATGTGTTTTATGGCCAAATATGGTAGCATACTTGGTGAATATTTTGAAAAATTATAAATGTTTTTAAAAAGTCAGCAAAGTAAGTATTTTGTGATAATTACAAATATATGTGTACACAATGAAGGAGAGGTAGACACACAGCTTTCCTAGTGTTAGGGAAATGGGTAATTGGGGTTTGGGATAAAATTTCCAGTAATCATGTTATACACATATTCAAAAAGTGCCATATCTAAATTCTGAGATATAGATGACTTAAAGGTGACTCCAGTAGTAACAAAAATTGGGTATGCATGAAATCTAAGTGCAAAAAAGTATATCTTTACTATGTGAACCCTTGCTATCTGAACCCAGATATCAAATGGCTTGAAAGATATTTGGAGATAAGCCTTAGAAAAAGATAACTCTTGATATCCGAACTTGCTATCTAAACTAAAAAGTTGAATAGTTTTTGATAGTAAAGGATACATATCTTCCTATATAATATCTGTGACTAAACCAGTAAATATCTGACCTTTATTTCATCTACATATTTAAAAGTGGTATGTGAGGTATGTATGTTTGAGAGAGAGAAAGATTTCTCTTTGGGAAACTGGAGTATTATTTGGTATTTCGGATCATTTTATATTTAGACACAAACAGTGGTAGATTTTCATGATGAAATATTATGCAAAACAGCATTCTAGTGGCATGGGAAGAGAAGTTTACAAAATACTTTATGCAACATAGCCTCTTTTGTTTAAATAACAATGCCTAGTAAAAAGACTAGAAAGAAGTGTACCTAAATGTAACCAGGATTGAGTGATCTTTTTTCTATGTCTATAATATCTGTTCTATGGCAAATTTTTCATACCTCAATTTCATTTGTAGTTAGAAAAATGTTCAACAGTGAATTTTAACACAATATAAATACCACAACAGAGTTATAAAGAAAGTTCAATACTGGTATCAAAGAGTATCAATTCTTTTGGGAAGTTCTGAGAAAGTTCTGGAAGAGAACATGCTTCAAATATAGTCTAACATAAAATACACCAATAGTTTATCAGAATTAGAACGTATCCCATTTGCAATTGCCAGAAAGTGAGAACAAGCATGTACCACACTAGAGGAATTTAAAATAGGTCCATGTGACCAGAATACAAGCTGCAAGAATAGTGGCAGGAGAAGGAAGAATGAGAATACACACACACACAATGGGGACTGATGCTATATTAAGGAGTTCAGAGTTTTTAGAATGAACAAAATCTAAACCAAGCCATCCAGGGCTAAATCATTTTAATGCTAAATTTCAATACTAAGTTAATCCCTTCCACGATTCAAGAAACAACTATAAAACTATCCTGGATAAGATCATCAAAAACAACTACTTTAGGGCTCAAACAAAGGCAAATAAGATGAAAAGTGTTTATTCATAAAAACCAGGTGAACCTAGCTTAGGAACAGTGAGGATCTGTCCTATCTTTGCCTGGAGCTGCTCTCACCACCCCCAACCCCTGCTTAGCTAGTATGAAACTTCCTCCAGGACAGGACTCGTTAAAAAATAGCAGCTTCACTGCTAGAGGCGGCTAACTTGATTTGGAGCAAAGGGTAAAAAACCTACACAGAGCAGTGTCAGTAAAAGCAGCAAACTTGGAAGAAACAAGCATGGAAAGTCAGCAGCTACGCTAGTCTCAGGCTGTAGTTGTGGTTGGGTTGAGCTGCAGAATGGAGGACTAGTCAGAAATTTAACAAAGATCCTGGAAATGAGATAGATATAGAGGAGTTAGATAAGCTCCCCACAAAGCCATGGCTGATGGGGAGGCTATGTGAATATGCAGAGAAAACCCAAGAGGGCCTAGAAGAAAGTAAAAGGTGAGGCAGATTTGAAAAGCGCCTAAATGTTTAATGCACTCCCCAATCAAGACGCACTCTACTGGAAGAGGGTGGAAGCCTTACTGACTGAGGTGTTTGAGCGCAACCTCTAACCTATCATTGTTTGGCTACTAAATTATGCAGATACTGGTGCAACCCCTAGGAAATCAGCCTAAAAAATAACAACCCCCCCCACCTCTGAAAAAAACACTAAACATAATAAGGGAGACAGATTCCACAGATTAAGTCTAAGCAAATTACTGAGAAACACTACTACTAACGCTTGTAGGGGAAAAAAATCCATGACAGTTTCTATACTTTTTAACCAAAAATTATGAGACATGCAAAGAAACCCGGAAAAGCATAGTCCATACTCAGGGGAAAAAAAGTAGTAAATGGACTCTTGAGTGAGCCCAAATGTTGGGTTAAACAGACAAAAACTTTAAGGCAGTGATTACAAAATATATATATATTATAAAAATAAAAAAGTATACATATATACATATATATGAATACTTTTTTTTTTTTAAGACAGGGTATCACTCTGTCACTCAGGCTGGAGTACAGTGAGAGGTGTGATCTCTACTCACTGCAACCTCCACCTTCCAGGCTCAAGTGATCCTTTCGCTTTAGCCTCCCGAGTAGCTAGGACCACAGGCACATGCCACTACACCTGGCTTTTTTGTTATTTTTTTGTAGAGACAGGTTTTGTCATGTTGTCCAGGCTGGTCCTGAACTCCTGGACTCAAGCAATCCACCTGTCTTGGCCTCTCAAAGTGCTGGGATTACAGGCATGAGCCAATGTGCCCAGCCATAAAAATATTTAACAAATTTAAGGAAATCATGCTTAAAGAATCAAAGGAAAATGCAGTAACAATGACTCAATAAATAAGGGAATCTCAACAATATAACAGAGCTATAAAAAATATATAGAAATCTAAAGTTGATATTTTCCATACATATCTGTGTTTGATAGAAGTATAACTATATAATTTCTTTAACTGGCCAACACTTAAAATATTAATATTTAAGAATGTCCATAACACATGAGTTAAAGGATGTTTAGTAAGTCGTTATGCATTATAAGCTTTGTAGTAACCTTTGAATAAAGGTAAAGATGGCTTATGGTTCCCTACTGAAGTAATCAAAGATATTTTGATTTTTAAACGTAATTGCTTAAAACTAGGTAATATTTTCAACATGATTTAAAATCAAAGCAACCAAAAGTAATGCTTGTTATTATCTATAGTTTTGGAACTGCTTAAGAGTATCTTACTTTCATAATTATTTTCTGTGTCTATCAAGAATATTTCTATAACTATTCAAGTTTAGCATTTTTAAGTAATTAACAAAATACACTTGATACCACAAACCAACAGGGTAAAAGGGTATAGGAACAATTTTAATATTACAGCGAAATACCTCAGAGATACTACAGCTTTGGTTCCAGACTACTGCAATAAAGCAAGTTACAAAATTTTTTTGGTTTTCCAGTGCATATAAGTTATGTTCCACTACACCATAGTCTATGAAGTGTGCAATAGCATTGTCTAAAAAACAATGTACAGATCTTAATTTTAAAATACTTTATGGCTAAAAAATGCTAGTCATCATTTGAGCCTCCAGCAAGTTGTAATCTTTTTACTGGTGGAAGCTTTGCCTTGATACTCATGGCTGCTGACTGATTAGCATGATGGTTGCTGAAAGCTGGGGTGCTATCAGAATTTCTAAAAATAAGACAACACTAAAGTTTGCCACATACATTGGCTGTACCTATCATGAATGATTTCTCTGAAGCATCAGCATGTGATGCTGCTTGACAGCATTTTACTCACAGAATTTCTTTTAAAATTGGTCAGTCCTCTCAAACCCAACCACTGCTTTATCAATTAAATTTTATATAATATTCTAAATCCTTTGTCATTCTAACAATGTTCACAGCATCTTCACCAGTAGATGCCATCTCAAAAAGACACTTCCTTTGCTCATCCATAAGAAACGACTCCTCATCCATTCAAGTTTTATCATGAAATTGCAGCAATTCAGTCCCATCTTCAGGCTCCACTTCTAATTCTAGTTTTTCCCACCACATCTGCAGTTATTTCATCCATGAGGCTTGGAATAAACTCCTCCAAACTCATATTCATGTTAATATTCTGATCTGCTCCCATGAATCACAAATGTTCTTAATGGCATCTAGAATGGTGAGTCCTTTCCAGAAGGTTTTAATGGACTTTGCCCAGATCCATCAGAGAAATCGCCATGACAACTACAGCCTTACAAAATGTATTTCTTAAATAACATGACTTGAGCCAGGCTCAGTGACTCATGCCTGTAATCCTAGCACTTCCAGAGGCTGAGACGGGAGGATTGCTTGAGTCCAGAAATTTGAGACCTGCCTGGGCAATATAGGGAGATTCTCTCTCTATAAAAAATTTTAAAAAAGTTAGCTGGGCATGGTGGTGCATGCTTGTGGTGCCAGCTACTGGGGAGGCTGAGGTGGGAGGGTCACTTGAGCCCAGGAGGTCAAGGCTCCTGTGAGCTGTGATCATGCCACTCCACTCCAGCCTGGGCAACAGAATGAGACCCATCTCCAAAAAAAAAAAAATAATAATAATATGACCTGAAAGTCTAAATTACTCCTTGATCCATGGGCTGCAGAATGGACGTTGTATTAGCAGGCACGAAAACAACATTCATCTCCTCGTACATATATATCAGAGCTCTTGGGTGACCTGGTACATTATCAATGGGCAGTAATATTTTGAAAGGAATATTTTTTTCTGAACGGCAGGTCTCAACACTAGGCTTTAAATATTCCGTAAACTATTCTTTAAACAGATGTGCTGTCATCTAGGCTTTGTTCCATTTACAGAGCACAGCCAGAGTAGATTCAGCATAATTCTTAAGGGTCCTAGGATTTTCAAATGGTAAATTAACACTGGCTTCAACGTAAAGTCACCAGCTGCATTAGCCCCTAACAAGAGAGGCTGCCTGTCCTCTGAAGCTCTGAAGCCAGGTATTGACTTCTGATCTCTAGCCAAGAAACTCCTAAAAGGCGCCTTCTTCTTCCAATAGAAGGCTTTTAAATCTACATTAAAAATCAGTTGTTTACTGTAGCCACTTTCATGAATGGTCTTTGGTAGATCTTCTGGATAACCTGCTGCAGCTTCTAAATCATCACTTGCTGCTTCACCTTGCACTTTATGTCATGGAGATGGTTTCTTAGACCTCATGAACCAACCTCTGTTAAGCTTCAAACTTTCTTCTGAAGCTTCCTCACCTCTCTTAGCCTTCAATTGAAGAGAGTTAGACCCTTGCTCTGGATTAGGTATTGGCTTGAGGGAATGCTGTGGTTGGTTTCATCTTGTATCCAGACCACTCAAACTTTCTCCACATCCACAATCAAGTTGTTTTACTTTCTTCTCATTCCCGTGTTCACTGAATAGCACTTTCAATTTTAAAAATAATTTTTCCTTCACTTTGGGAGGCCGAGGTAGGTGGATCACGAGGTCAAGAGATCCAGACCGTCCTGGCCAACATGGTGAAACCCCGTCTCTACTAAAAACACAAAAATTGGCTTGGCACAGTGGCACGCACCTGTAGTCCCAGCTACTCAGGAGGCTGAGGCAGGAGAATGGCGTGAACCTGGGAGGCGGAGCTTGCAGTGAGCTGAGATCATGCCACTGCACGCCAGCCTGGGCGACAGAGCGAGACTCCGTCTCAAAAATAAAATAAAATACAATAAAATAAATGACTTTTCCTTTGAATTCACAACTCAGTTAATTCTTTGGTAGAAAAGGCCTAGCTTTCAGCCTATATCAGCTTTTGACATGCCTACCTAACTAAGTTTAATCACTTCTAGCTTTTGATTTAGTCAGAGGAGTGCCTCTTTTTACTTGTATACTTAAAGGCCATTGTAGGTTTATTAACTGGCCAAATTTCCCTAGTGTCTTATGGAATAGAGAGGCCTGGGGGTGAAGGGAAAGAGAGAGAGAAGAGGGGGAGGGGGAGAGGGAAGAGTGGGGAGAGAGGAGAGGGGAGAGAGACTGGGGAACAGTGGATCCGTGGAGCAGTTAGAACATACATGACATTTATTGAATAAGTTCACTGTCTTATATGGTTGATAATAAGTTCACTGTCTTATATGGTGCCCCTAAACAATCTTAATAGTAACATCAAAGATCACTGATCACAGATCACCAAAACAGACATCATAATAATGAAAAAGTTTGAAATATTGTGAGAATTACTAAAATGTGACAGTGTATTAGTGCGTTTTCATGCTGCTGATAAAGACATCTCTGAGCCTGGGTAATTTATAAAGAAAAAGAGGTTTAATGGACTCACAGCTCCATGTTGCTGGGGAGGCCTCACAATCATGATGGAAGGCGAAAGGCATATCTTACTTACATGGTGGCAGGCAAGAGAGAATGAGAGCCAAGCTAAAGGGGAAACTCCTTATAAAACCATCAGATCTCGTGAGACTTACTCACTACCACGAGAACAGTATGGGGGAAACCGCCCCCATGATTCAATTATTTCCCACAGGGTCCTTCCCACAACACATGAGAATTATTGGAGCTACAACTCAAGATGAGATTTGGGTGGGGACACAATTAAACCATATCACAGAGCCACAGTGAGTACATGCTATTGGGAAAATGGTGCCAATCGACTTGCTTGACTCAGGGTTGCCACAAACCTTCAATTTGTAAAAAATGTAATATCTGTGAAGTACAATAAAGCAAGCGCAATAAATAAGTTATGCCTGTACTAATAATTAATTGGATTATAATAGTCATGTACTTATAAAATTTATGCCTATATGCATATAATCTTACTAGCAGGCAGATTTTCTTACCAACAATAAAACAATGGTAATTGGTTCTATTAATAACCTTTCATTATTTTTCCTTATTTGTAAATTCTTAGTGGATAGCCACTTTAATTGTATTTTGCTGTTTTGATTCTTTGTTTTGATAATTACATAAGAATTACATATTGTTATATAATTACATATTACATTGTACATTATAACTATATAATACTATTATATAACAATTATATGTTATATACACACATATAGCCATAACATATATGTAATATATATAATTATGTAACAATGTATAATTATATAATCGTATTTAATGAACCATTCTTTCTCATTTTCAGTTAGAACAACACATGCTACAGAACCACTAGTTTTCCAGATAGCTCTTACAATTTTCTGCTAGTTTTTAATCTAATAATATTACCTATCTGCATTTCTCAGTCTATCATGTAACTACTGGAGGAGCAAGTAAACTGCTCACTGTTTAGTATGAACCACTGCATTATTTCACATTAATACAGTTATCCAGGATAATCAAAGTAGAAAAAGTATACTTACTCAGTTATAAATTCAGGGTTTGTAAAGCTGAGGTTGGTTAAATGACCTTCAAGTTGAGAAGACTCATGCATATTTAAGGCTGGAGTGGTCTTAGTGGCAAGTACAGCTCTTTTTTCATCTTTCTCAAGTGCTTTTCTCTTCCCACCATTTTGGAAATATTCTCTGCATACACTACAAGTAAAAATAAAGTTGTATTTTAACATACTGTGTACGACTACAAAATAAGACGGAAAAAATTGGCTTTTATTAATCAAGATGGGAAACTTTCAAATTTAAGATTTCTGCTTTGAAAATGTCAAACTGAGATAAATTTGAGCACCTTGTAGCACTTTCAAATTTTTAAAAATTACTATACAATAAAGAATGATCACAAATTATGTTTAGTAAATAAAAAATATGTTTTTTCAGGATTACAGATGTGTTTGTATATACTTTACTGAACTTCTCTCGACTAAAACTTCTCCAGCAAAGCTTACATAACTCTACTATGCAGTGACAACATCCAGAAGGAATAGTAGTTGCAGTTAATTTTGAGCTGGCTTTACTAGTAGTAGACAGATAACCCAACAGCTGTTCTTGAGGTCCCTCTGGGTTTATGATAACAAAGTCAGGGTGAGTGTGCGTGCACGCGCGCACGCGCGTGTGTGTGTTTGTATGTATGTGTATATATATGTGTATATATGTATATATGGAGAGCGAGCGAGCTCATTTTTCTTCTTATTTGCACTTAATTTACTACATATAGCTCATACTTTACACAAAGCTATTTTATCATTCTCCACAGACATTGCTTGGTGAAGTTCCAAAAATACATGGCAAGAGAAGAATTGAAGAGCAAAGAATTCATGCAAAACTGGTTTCAGCAAGTACAACTATGGTCCAAGGGAACTATGCCCATTTCTCCTTCATGCTTACAGGATCCCATTAGTTCAACTTCAGTTTTTCTTAGTTCCTATTACTAAGACTTCTTTAACTTATACTATGTAGATTTAGTTTTAACTCTATACGCAGAAGTTGAAACTTATTCAGCATGAATTAAACATTTATTAAGTACGCATCATGTGTAGAGGTGCATAATGATGGCCAAATTGCAGAAGGCATAGTTGTTACCCTCAAGAAGCTACTGTTACCTCAGTAAAGGACACAAATAATTACTATATATAACAATAAAAAACATGATTGATAAACAGATAAACAAAGATAGTTATTTCTATAAATAAAGTACCTAACCCAATCTAAAATCAGCAATATAAATGGATTTTAGAAAGATAAGTAGGAATAAACCAGGAAAGTAAAGTAGAGTGGAAACTTTCTAGGCAGAAAGGACAGCATAAGCAAAGACATGAAAGAGAAAAGCAGAATGAGTCTTCAGAGATGTACCTCAGTTCAAGATACATGAAGTTTAAAGTACTGGGCAGAAGATGAGTGGACCTATTCACAAATGAAAAAACCCTGAGCCTAGTGCACACATAAAGAGGAAGGAGAGCCAAGGTATGCAAGCTTCAAATCACACAAGATCCACAGGCCAATTTTAAAATGCAGTCTTTACAAATCTAATCTAATGACAGAGAGCAGTTTAGAGGTTGCCTGGGATAGGGTGTGGGGACGAGTGCAAAGGGGTACAAGGGAGCTTTCTGGAGAAAAATGTTCTATATCTTGATAGTGGTGGTGGTTACATAAGTGTAAACAACTGTAAATACCCACTAACTGTACACTAGATGGGTGCATTTTATTGTATATAAATTATACCTCAGTAAAGCTGATAAAAATGTAGACTTTATCAACTTGAAATTAATACTAAAAAGCTTGCTTATGTTTCTATCAGGTAGAACCATATAAAACTGGTGATATTCAAAAGTTCTTGAGCTACAAAAATTGCAATTTTATGTGGTCTAACCTAACAGCTACTAAGGCAGTAAAATACTTAAAGGGCTAAAATTCTAGGTTCTCATAGAATAATGACAATCATCTAAATTCCAATATCCCCATATACCCTCAAAAAACATACAGATCAATAAAGAGAGCAAATAAAAGCACTTACCATTTATACCTATGGCATAACAAGGAAATAAAAAATAACACTTCATTTTACTTGTTATTGAAAAAATAAAAATCTGAAACCGAGTTGGCTTTGGAGGCCACTCAAAGTACAGAGTCAGATGACGACTGCATAAAAGAGAGAAATGTATGAAAAGGTGGCCAAACAGAATCTTCCAGCAATCACCCCCTAGACCTGCAAGAATATCAAATTGAGTAACTATCCATGCAAAAAAGCACCTTCATAAGAACTAAGTCAGTTAAGAGATCACAGTTCCTACAAGAAAAGATGCATTGAAGATGATAGGAACTCCATAGACAGTCTTGAACTGTCTATACCATCCTCTCCCAAGCCCCGGCAGTACACCCCAGAGAGATAATCTTTGTGCTTTGCAGAGGGAGTGTGAAATAACTACGGGACTTTGCACTGGAACTCCATGTTGCCCTGTCACAGTGGAACACAGCACTGGGCAGAAATCTACTGGTGCCCACAGGGGGCATTTAGACCATCCTTGAACAGACAGAAAGAAGTCTGCTGCCCTAGTGGGAGGAATCTTAGTCCTAGTCTGCTTTGCTACTGGCTGAATAAAGTGGCCCTGGGCTCCCAATAAATGTCAGTGGCAGCCAGACCATGGCAACTGTAGTCTTTGGGTGAGCCCCAGTGCTGTGCTGGTCTCAGCAGAGGCTGTGAGCCCAGGGTACTACAACCAAGTGTGACACCAGCTGTGGTGGCCATGGGAATGCCTCCATCACCCCTCCCCTCATTCTAGGCAGTACAGTGTAGAGACTTCTTCCACTTGGGGCAAGGAGAGGAAGAGTATAGGAGACTTTGCCTTGCAACCCAGGTACCAGCCCAGCCACAGTAAAACAAAGCACCAGGCAGAATCCTAAAGCCCCTGATTCCAGGCTGTTGTTCCCACATGGCACTTCTAGACCCACCCTGGGACAGAAGGGAATCCTCTGCCCTGGGGGGATGGACCCCAAGTCCCTGCAGGATTCATTACCTGCTGACTAAAGTGGCCTTGGACCTTCAGTAAACATCAATGACAGTTCAAATATGACCCAGCATGAGGCCAGCTGTGGTGGCCACAAGAGTGTCTGTGTCACTTCTTCCCCAACTCTGGTCAGACCAGCATAAACAGACACTCATTCCACCTGGGGGAAGAAGAGGGATTTTGCCTGGGAACCCAGCAACTTCTCCCTTATCTTCAAGTCCATTAGGGCTGGGAATTCAGCAATCTGCAGAAGTTGCAGTGTACCTGGGCTTAGAGTGCCCTCTAGTGCTGAAATGGTTACAGTGACCACAGGCTTAGGTAATACTTTAGATAAACTCTGAATGCTTAGAAGGCCCTCTGAAAAAGGATGGATACTAACAAGTCCAGATTACAAAGACTGGAATAAATATCTAACTCTTCTATGCCCAGACACTGAAAAACATCCACAAGCATCAAGAACAGTCAGGAAAATGTGACCTCACCAAACAGACTAAATGAGGCACCAGTGACCAATCCTGGAGTAGTACAGATATATGACTTCTCAGGGAATTCCAAATAGCTTTTTGAGGAATCTCAATGAACTTCAAAAAAACAGAGAAGGAATTCATAAATCTTTCAGGGAAATTTAACAAAGAGATTAAAATAATTTAAAGAATCCAACAAAAATCCTGGAGCTGAAATATTCAATTAATGAACAAAAATATGTATTACTATCTAAACAGAATTGATCAAGCAGAAGAAAGAATTAGCTTAAAGACAGGCTATTTCAAAATACAGAATCAGGGGAGAAAAAGAAAAAAGGAGTGAAAAAGAAAGAAGAATGCTTACAAGTCTGGAAAATAGCCTCAAAAGGGCAAATCTAAGAGTTATTGGCCTTAAAGAGGAAGTACAGAGACTGGGGTAGAACGTTTATTCAAAGGAATAATAACAGTTTTCCAAACCTAGAGAAAGATACAAATATGCAGTTATAAGATCAAAGAACACCAAGCAGCTTCACCCCAAATAAGACTACCTTCAAGGCATAAAATCAAACTCTTATAGGTTAAGGACAAAGAAAGAATCCTAAAAGCAGTAAGAGAAAAGAAACAGGTAACAAATGAAGGAACTCCAATACATCTGGCAGCACACTTCTCAGTGGAAACCTTACAGGCCAAGAGGGAATGAGATGACATATTCAATGTGCTGAAGGAAAAAAAAAAAAAAAGGAAACAACTTTCAACTGAGAATACTGTACCCCGCAAAGCTATTCTTCAAACACAAAGGAGAAATATGTAGATAAACAAAGATGAAGGACTTCACACCAGACCTACCTTACCAGAAATGCTAAAGAGAATTTTTCAACTTGAAAGAAAAGGATGCTAACACACAATAAGAAATCATCTGAAAGTATAATATAAAACTCACTGGTAAAGGTACATACATAGTTAAATTCAGAATACTCTAAAACTGTAATTGTAGTGCATAAACTATTCATATATTCAGAGGAAAAAACCCAATGGGATAAATTTATTATATCTGTACATATATATATATATAAACAGATATCTAAGAAGAGATTTGTAATAAGGAATTGGCTTATGTGATTATGCAGACTGAAATGTCCCACAATCTGCTATGCCTAAGCTGTAAAACCAGGAAAGCTCCAATCCAAGTCCAAAGGCTTGAGAACTATTTTATAAGTTCTGGTCCAAGTACAAAAAGGCTTGAGAACCATTTTATAAGTTGTAGTCTAAGTTCAAAGGCCTAAGAACCAGAAGTGTCAATGGTGTAGGTTCCAGCTAGATGGAAGGCCTCAAAAGAGGCCTACTCACCCACAATAGAGAGGGCAATCTGCTTTACTCAGTCTACAGATTCAAATATCAATCTCATTTGGAAACACCCTCGCAGACACACCCAGAAATAATGTTCGGCCAAATATCTGCGTACCTTTTGAATCAGTAAAGTTGTGAATAATATTCCATAATACCTAAAATTAACATAGGCAACACAATATTGACAGAAAAACAAACTGAAGGACTACTACCAACTTCAAGACTTACTATAAAGCTACAGTAATCAAGACAGTGTGGTAATGGTGAAAGAAAAGACAAATACATCAATGGAACACAATAGAGAGTGCAAAAATATACCTACAAAAATATGGTCAACAGATCTTTGAAAAAGGAGCAAAGGCAATACAATGGAGAAAAAAGAAAATTTTTTCAACAAGTCATGCTAGAACTAGACATCCACATGCAAAAAAAGAAAAAAAGTAAATCTAGATATAGACCTTACACCTTTGACAAAAATTATCTTGAAATGCATCATAAATGCAAAATGCAAAACTATAAACTGTCTAAAAGGTAACATAGGAGAAAACCTAGATGGCATTGGGTATGGTGATGACTTTTTAGACATGACACCAAAGGCATGATCTGTAAAAGAAAAAATTGATAAGCTGAACGTCACTAAATTAAAATTTTTTGCTTTGTGAAAGACATTGTCAAGAGAATGAAAAGAAAAGCCACAGACACTGAGAAAATATTTGCAAATCATACATATCAGGGGTCCCCAACCCCCAGTACTGGTCCGTGACCTGTTAGGAACTGGGCTGCACAGCAGGAGGTAAGTGGCAGGTGAGTGAGTGAAGCTTCGTCTGTATTTACAGCTGTTCCCCATTGCTCGCATTACTGCCTAAGCTTTGCACCTTGTCAGATCAGTGACAGCACTAGATTCTCATAGAAGCACGAACCCTTATTGTGAAATGTGCATGTGAGGGATCTAGGCTGCACGCTCCTTATGAGAATCTAAAGCCTGATGATCTGTCACTGTATCCCATATAACCCCCAGATGGGACTGGCTAATTGCAGGAAAACAAGCTCAGGGCTCTCACTGATTCTACATTATGATGAGTTGTACAATTATTTCATTATATATTACAATGTACTAATAATAGAAATAAAGTGCACAATAAATGTAATGCACTTGAATCACCCCGAAACCACCTGCTTCCACTCCAGTCAATGGAAAAATTGTCTTCCACAAAACCAGTCCCTAGTGCCAAAAAAGTTGAGGACTGCTGACATATACAATGAAGAACTGTTATCTAAAATATAGAAAGAACTCTTAAAACTCTGTAAGAATGCAAATAAATTTAAAAACCAGGTAAAAGACCTGAACAGACATCTCATCAAAGAAGATACACAGAGTGGAAGCAACAAGAATGCTTATCAAGTGCTGATGAGAATGCAAAATGTTACACTTTTTACAGCAGCTTTATTCATAATTATCAAAACTTGGAAGCAACCAAGATACCCTTCCATAGGTGGATGGATAAACTGTGATACATCTAGACAACAGAGTATTATTCAGCAGTATAAAGAAATGAGATATCAAGCCATAAAAAGACACAGAAGAACCTTAAATGCTAATTACTAAGTAAAAGAAGCCAATCAGAAAAAGCTACAAACTTTATAATTCCAACTATATGACATTCTGGAAAAGGCAATCTATGAAGTCAGTAAAAAAGGTGGTGGTTGCAGGCCGGGCGTGGTGGCTCATGCCTGTAATCCCAGCACTTTGGGAGGCCGAGGTGGGTGGATCACCTGAGGTCAGGAGTTTGAGACCAGCCTGACCTACATGGAGAAATCCGTGTCTACTAAATATACAAAATTAGCCAGGCATGGTGGCGCATGCCTGTAATCCCAGCTACTTGGGAGGCTGAGGCAGGAAAATTGCTTGAACCGGGAGGCGGAGGCTGCAGTGGACGGAGGTTGCGGTGAGCTGAGATCGCGGCATTGCACTCCAGCCTGGGCAACAAGAGCAAAACTCCGTCTCAAAAAAAAAAAACAAAAAAAAACAAAAAAAAACAAAAAAAAAAACCAAAAAAGTTGGTGGTTGCAGATGGGTGAAAAGGCCGGCACAAAGGATTTTTAGGGCAGTTAAACTATTCTGTATAATACTATAATGGAGGATACATGTCATTATACATTTTTCAAAAACCATAGAATGTACAACATCAAGAATGAACCCTATGGTAAACTATGGACTTTGGGTGATAATGATCTATCAGTATAAGTTTAACAACTCTAACAAATGTACCACTCTAGTGCTGGATGTTGACAGTGGGGGAGGCTATGCATGTTTGGGATGGAGTGGTTGTATATGGGAACTTTCTGTACTTTCTGGTCAATTTTATTGTGGGTTTCTGGTCAATTGTGTTGTAAACCCACTGCTCTAAAAAATAAAGTCTACTTAAAAGAGAAAACAAACCAACCTTGGGATAAATATATCATGTATCTCCTGATGTATTAAACTGAGAGGGACACAACATCACCTATGCAAAACTCTTGCTAACAATACACTTAACTTATATCTAATCACAAATAAACTACACATATCCAAATTGAGAGGCAATCTATAAAATGTTGACTTTTAAAAAATGGCCGCATAGGCCAGGCACAGTGGCTCATGCCTGTAATCCCAGCACTTTGGGAGGCCGAGGCAGGCAGATCACCTGAGGTCAGGAGTTCAAGACCCGCCTGACCAACATAGTAAAACCCCGCCTCTTCTAAAATATAAAAATTAGCTGGGTGTAGTGGCAGGTGCCTGTAATCCCAGCTACTCGGGAGGCTGAGGCAGGAGAATTGCTTAACCCTGGAAGTGGAGGCTGCAGTGAGCCCAGATCGTATCACTGCACTCCAGCCTGGGTAACAACAGCGAAACTGTCTCAAAACAAAAAAAAAAAGTCGTATCATAAAAAGACAAAAAAGAAAAGAAAAAAATGATGAATTTTTCTAGATTAAAGACCAAAAAGGCTTCACAACTAAGTGCAATGAGTTATCCCTGATGGGATCCTGGATTGAAAAAAAAAAAAATACAGGTATAAAGGACACTATTGTGAAAATTGGGGAAATTTGATTATGGATTACATTATTAGTTAGCATCACATTAATGCTAAATTTCTGGAGTGTGATAGTTGTATTATGATTACGTAGAAGAATGTTCTTACATGATACACACTGAAGTATTCAGGAATAAAAGTCTGGTAATTTCTGTAACTGACTCTCAAAAGGTTCAGCAGAGAGCAAGAGAGAAAAAGGACCCAGAGGAGAAAGAGGAACAAGATACAAAAGTAAGACTAAGTAGAGTAACATTTTTTCAGAAGCTGAAGGAAAGAAAGTGTGAGTCAAGGATTTTCTATCCATCCAAACTACGTATCTTGTAACAAAATTATACAAAACCAGTTTGTAAGATGGGTGAACTCAGAGAACATCATAATTCCAAGTTGTTTTTAAAAAATCTACTGGAAGATAAACTTCATCTATGAGATGATTAAGAAATGTTGGTGAAGAAGTAGGGAATAAAAAGCATTAAATCACTTAAAAAAAAAAGCGGGTACTTTAAAATGCTAAAGGCATTCAATTCACTTCAATTCCCAGTGAAGATATAACTATTATAAATAGTTATGTATCACTTATCATAGCAGCCATCTTTACAAAGAAGAAATTCCATGAGATGTATGGAGAAACAGACAAACACCAACAACAGGGACTTTCCACTTTCAATCAAGAGAATGAAAAGGTTACAGAAGCCCTAAAAAACATAATAAAGTTTACCTTATTGCTAGAAGATGAACTCTGCATTCAGAGAGAATAGCTTCTTTTTAATTATACATGGAATAGTCACAAAAATTACCATATATGTGTATTAAGTCATGAAGAAAACCATAGTAAAAACCATAATGAAAAAATACAGACAAAATTATACAATTGCAATGCAATAAAATGAGAATTAACCAAAAACAAGAAATCCATTCTATCTGCTATTTTTTAAAAAAGTAAAAAAGTAAATAACTTGGGTCAGAGGGCAAATACTAATAAAATCACAGAATATCTAAAAATAATTAATGAAAGCATTACAAGTCAGAAGCTAAGGAATGCAACTAAAATAGCAATCTGATGAAAACTGAGATGCTTTAATGCTTATATCAATACAAACAAAAGAAGAAAATCAAATGAAATAAACATGGAACTCAAGGGATTAGAAAATGAAGCAAAAGAAAGGAAGAGTGCCAACAAATACACAAAAACTTGTGCAACTTTTTTCTAGAAAAATACACCAAATATATAGAATAGAAAAATTTCTTAAACTTGACTCGGTAGAAATAAAAAGTTTAAACAAAACAAAAATCCAAAGATGAAATAGTTATCAGAGTTAATCTTACCAAAAAGCACCAGTACAAGCCTTCAAAAACCAGATAACCCCTGTATTAATCATGTTTTTTACTTTATCTTTCATATTTTGATATTTTGGGAGGGGTGTTGGAGGGTGTGCTTATACATCCAGAGAGAGACTGCCCCTCTCAGGACCAGCTAATTCCTTAAGGTGGTAAACTTACTTGGGAAAACATTTCTCATATGCAAGCCAACCGCTATCTAACTTTTACACATAGACCATTAATTCCCCACTACTAAATCAACTCAAGACCATATACCAGACAACAACGGACAGCCTCTAGTCCCCAAAGCCTACTGAAATTATTCAACCTAGCCAATCCTAAACCGTTTACTCTGCCCTGCCTTGGCTTTTCCATAAAAAGGTCAATAACAGCTCTGGTCTAGGATTTCCTTTAGCTCCTGCTTCTGACTCCTGACAAAATCTGGTGCTTCCTTTATAGCCCTGCATGGTGCAGTATGTCCCCTTCTCTCAGGAAATATAAGTAATAAATAATTATTTCAATGGCATTGATCACTCCATGTTTTCCCTCAGTCACCTCTATAAATTAAAATTCCACTGATACATGTGAGACAACCCCAAAAGTACTTAAACTGTTCCAAACCATAGAAACAAAAACATTTTTCCAAATTCATTTTCAGGGAGCAAAATTACAATAATACTTATCTGATCTCATAAAGACTACAAAAATAAAGGCCAATATCACTTATAAATATGAATAAAAATATGAAATTAAATTTTAACAAACAGAATTAAATATGACCAAGTGATATGTATTTCAGGAATGCAAGGATGGTTCAGCATAAGAAAATCCACTAATATAATTCACTATATTCATAAATCTAAGAAGAAAACACATTTATTCTTCTCCATAGATGTTGAAAGGTCATTCAACAAAATTCAAACCCATTCCTAATATAAACACTCAATAAAATACAAGTTGGCAAACACTTCCTTAATATTAGAAATATATATATATACACACATCAGCCAAAAAGCCAGCAACTTAATGAAAATACACCACATACATTACTGCAAAATGAATAAAGCACAGCTACGTAATAGACAAGAGAAAAAGATTTAGTCAAATGAATAAGAGAGGAAGAAATAAAACTTTGTGTATTTATAGATGACATAACAGATACACCTTGACAACCCAAGAGAATCAATCATAAACTCATATAAACAGAAAGAAAATTCATTAAAATGGTAGGATGTAAAACATTAAAAAATGAAAATCATCCATATATATATGTACACACACAACAATATCCTGTTAGAATATAGTCATGTGTTGCTTAACAATGGGGATATGTCCCAAGAAGTGCATCATTAAGGTGACTTCATTATTGTGAAATCACCCAAGTATACTTAAATCTAGATGGTATAGCCTACTACACATCTACAGCATGTTACCATACTGAATACTGTAGGCCACTGTAACACAATTGTTAAGTATTTGTGTATCTAAACATAGAAAAGGTATAGTAAAAGTACAATATTATAATCTTATGGGACTACCATTGTATGTAGTCCATATATTTCCACTGTTGATGGAGATGTCATTATGCAGTGCATAGCTGTATAAACAGAAGGGAAGGGGACATTTACAACAGCAATAAAAATGACAAAATACCTAGGAGTAAGCACAACAAGAAATGTGCATAATCACTATACAGAAAACCTTAAAACACTACTTTGCAAAGTAGTCTGCTACTTTTGACTAAAGTAGACTAGAACAAATGGAAAGACATATCTTTTTTTTTTTTTTGAGACAGAGTCTTGCTCTGTCACCAGGCTGGAGTGCAGTGGTGCGATCTTGGCTCACTGCAACCTCCTCCGCCTCCTGGGTTCAAGTGATTCTCCTGCCTCAGCCTCCCAAGTAGCTGGGACTACAGGTGCACACCACCATGCCCAGCTAATTTTTGTATTTTTAGTAGGGACAGGGATTCACCATGTTGGCCAGGATGGTCTCAATCCCTTGACCTTGTGATCTGCCCACCTCGGCCTCCCAAAGTGCTGGGATTATAGGCATGAGCCACCATGCCCGGCCGACGTATCTTTTTAATGGATAGGATGACTCAACATTATTGAGATATCTGTTGTTCCCAATTTATGAAAAATTAATGTAATCTCAATAAAAGTAATTTTTAAAATGTAGTTGGACCAGTTGATCCTAAAGTACATGTGGAAAAAAGCAAAAGCAAGAAAAACCAAGAAAACCCTGAAAAAGAATAGTGTGAGATGGGGGTATGGAGAGAAGACACTACAGAACAGCATTGTAAGTCTTTATGATTAAAATAGTGATAGTAGGCATGGATCAATGATATACACAATGGAATATGACAGAAAAGCTAAAACAAAACCAACTATATGGGAAAACTTAGTACATCATGTAAGTGTCATATCAAATTACTGAAGAAAAGGTAAAGTTTTTAATAAATGTTGGGGAAATGGATAACTTTGGTAGAAAAAAAATTAGATCAATACTTCACAAGAAAGACCAAATTTGACTTTTAAACAGGTCAGAGATTTAATGTAATAAATGAGAAATCCCCTAAGTACTAGAAGAAAACACGAGTGAATAACAAATTGTTATTTGAATTCCTACAGTCTGGTAATTAGGAAAGCTTTTCTAAGACAATAAAAATCTGGAAGCAATAAAACAGAAGACTGATACATCTAACTACACAAAAGCAAAAACTTTCTGTATGGCAAAAGATATAGTCAAAGACAAAGGGCACAAATATTTATAAATGATATAAAGAGCTCCAAAAAAATCAAGAAAAATTAGAGACCAAAAGTCAACAGAAAAAAAAAACTATCAAAAACATGATCACATAATTCACAGGAAAAAAAGGCAAATGACTCCTAAATATATAAAAAGGTACTTTACCTCATTCATAAGAGAAATGTAAAATAAACTCAAGCTAGAGATACCAATTCCAATCTATCGGAGAAAAATTCAATAGCTGAGCCACATACTATGTTGGTGAAGTTATAGAGAAATGGGTATTCTTACTTACTTATTTATTTATTTATTTATTTATTTATTTATTTGCTGGTGAAACTGCAAAATGATATAACCTCTACACAGGGCAATTTGGCAGCACATCTAATAAAATCACATATGCATTTAATCTCCATTCCTGCAATTCCACACCTAGGAATCTACAAATATACAATGACAAAAATACAAAATGCACACACACAAGGTTATTCATTACAGCACTATTTGTAGTAGCAAAAGCTTGTAAACAAGTCATGAAAATGAGGAATATATCTGTATACCTGTGATGGTTAATTTTAGGTATCAATTGTCAAACATTATCTTAGGTGTTTCTTTGAGGGTGTTTTTGGATGATATTAACATTTACATTGGTAGACTAAATAAAGCAGACTGCCTTTCCTTAATGTGAGTGGGCCTCATTCAGTCAGTTGATGCCTGAATAGAACAAAAAAGCTGACTCTCTCATGAATAATTAAAGAGAATTCCTCCTGCCTGACTGCCTTTGAACTGGGACACCAGCTTTTTCCTGCCTTCAGACTCGAAGTGGGTCTAGAGGCTGCTGGCCTTTAGACTGGATCTATACCTTCAGCACTCATGGATTGCCACCTTGCCCACTCACCTTGCAGATCTTAGGAGTTGTCAAACTCGATAATCATATGCATTAATTCTTTATAACAAATCTTACTATACACACAAACAGACACATCCTATTGCTTCTGTTTCTCTGAAGACTCCTGACCAATACCAAATACAGTAATTCTCATATTAAGTAAAAAAGAAAGGTACAGAGTATATAACAGTATACAACACACTACCACCTACAGGGATAAGAAAGGGTGGATATATGTACATATGCATATGTACATGGATATGAATTTGTTTATTTTTGCAAAAACAAACACTGGTAGGATAAAAACAAAACAAATGAAAATGGTTACCCATAGGAGGTGTTACCCGGTGTAATGCCTATATGACAGTTGAATTCTGATCCTGCCCCAACTCTGCTTACCTTTAAGAAACAGGATACCTGTAATAAAAAGTTCCCTTTGAAATAACGAGACCGGGTGAGACTGGTTAGAACCAAGATAGCTGACATAATGAAAAGACCTCACGTTTCATTATAATCTCATTTCCATGCTAAATGAAATGGTACTCCCACCAGTTCCATGACAGTTGGCAAATGACCGTAACAACTGCAAGAAGCCATAAAAGGACAAAAAGGATGGTGGCACTCCAGTTCTAGAAAGTTCACTGCCCATTTCTAGAAAAGACATGAATATTAATCCTCTTGCTTTTAATGTCCAATGCCTTCATTAGAAAACCCTATATTTTAACCCCCCAGCCTATCACTAGTGGAGAAGTTGAATTATGAGCCATGCTCCTGCTTCTCAATTCCATGGCCATCAAATAAAGCCTGCACTGCTTGATACTCACTTCTGGTTTTGTGTACTGGTTTTGTGACAATGAACAGGGAAAGACCCCATCTTTTGGGAAACCAGCTTTGTTGGTAACAGAGGCAGGTGTAAATGAAGAAAATAAAAGGGAGTCTTTTTTGAGTATATCTTTTTATAAGGTTTGACTTTTGAACCATGTAAATGTTTTATATTCTCCAAAATTAAAATAACAATAAAAAACGCCCCAAACTGAAAATTAAGTGAAATCAACTGTATAGCAAATTGGTATTACAACCATACAGAAAATAACTGTTTCAAGCAACTTTTAAGCATATATTCTGATCCTTGGTGGGATATGTTCTAAAGACAAAAGAACTGCAAAGAAATCTTACATTTCAGTTATTTTATTTTTAGAAAATCAGTATTGCAATTTTTAAATCATTTTATGTAAATTGTAGGAAAAGGCTAATGTATTAATGTAATTCAGAACCAAGTCCTTCGGTGTAACAGAAGAGAAATAAAAAACAGATAAGTTAAGCAAAAATAAATATAAATATAAAACAAAGTTGTTAAGCAAAAATCTTATAATATTAAACTGGAGTGGAAAATATCAATTAGGAATTTGATTGAATATTTATATATAACACTATATAATATTATATTATATATTTTTCTAATTCTCTTTACCAAAAAGATGCAGAATAAAGCACACCCTGTGCACATCTAGTATCCACATGTTACTTTTCAAATGCCATTTCCCACTAAATGAAACTAGGACTCCCTGAAGAAACAGTCTGATGCCAGGTCTCGACGAGGGGAAGCAAAGACTCATCTTTGTACTACAGAGCAAGAAAGTGCTCACAGGTGACGTAAAACACAGAAGTAAACTTTGACTGGGCTCCTGCTGCCTAATATGAAATTATTTGAACACCCCACCCCCCAAAAAAAGACTAATAATGAAAAATGGAATAAATAAAAATCCAAGATGTTACTGTGACAGTCCAAAAAAATAAACCCCACAACCCCGTTGTCCTAACTGTAATTGACTATTATACCAATTGCTTTCGTGAAAATTGGTAATTAAACAGAATTACATATTTTTTAATCTGATTTTCTGGATAACATGTAATCATCATTCACCATTTATAAAGGAAAATTCTTTTATTTACAAAAGAATGCCAGCTAATAAATGTCAAGAAATAATACAATTTTAAAAATAATTGTTTTGTAACCCCAAATATTATTTAATAAATGGAAGTAAAACTGTTTGTTGAAAGACTGTTAGGAAAGAGGATTGATCCACAAGCCAAAATATCACTGTACATATTACTTAATTATAAAGGGATAACATAAGTTTACAATGGAAAGATTGAGTAGATACCACCTTAACCAAATGATAACATTTAGTATCTCTAATGGCGGTACACCTCACAACAAAAACCTACTAATATGACACAAAATGATGTATGAAGCTTCATCTAATAGATATTTTTGCAAAAATATCTGACCTGAATCAATCCTTTAGACCCAACTTTCAGTTTACAGGAAATAAATGAGATTGAGGAAATAAATAATTGGTACCATGAGAAAACAATCAGATAATCCTGCATGTAGAACACAAAACTAGTTTGGAATTAGGATACAGATTATCAGAACAGCTCATATGATACAATTTAAAAAACAACGTATTAAAAAGAAATCATGAGAGATGAGAATGCAAAGGGGTCTAAAGGAAATAAATTACAGACAAGCACAAGTCCTTCCAAAATGAGAAGGGATCACAGGCACTGGGGAATTTGCTGAAATGGTACCTGGGCTGCAGAGAATCAAGCCTTCCAGGGTAGAAATACTCTGCTGGATTAAAGGGAAATGGCAGAGCTTTTAACAACTGCTTGGCTGTGTGACAGATTGATATCTTTAAGAAACTCAAATGTAGAGATAATTCTCCCCATTCTCCTCCTGATTCCCTCCACAGGTCTATTTATGAGTATGTGAAGGCAGCAACAGCACTGGTGGCTGCGAGTGGAACTAAAAAGCAGAAAAACATTAGGCTTATGTCCTGCAAGAGAGTTGCACCTGTAATACTCACAGAACAGGATTCATTCACTATCAAAGCACTTGAGACCAGAAGTGAATTGAAACCACCTAAAGAGGTCATCCAGCTCCAATACAGCTCAACTCCTGATGGTATCAAAGTGTTCAGTCTTTCATTCTAGCTGCCTTTCAGAGCAAAAAAAGCATGTCTCTCTGGAGAAAAAGGGTATTTATGCCAATCTCTTCTAAACACAATGCCAGTATAAAAACAGAATTATCACACATAAAGCAGGAAAAAATGACCCATAACCAAAAGAAAAAATAGCCAAAAGAAACAGACCCACAGATAAGACATGTTAGAATAAGCAGACAAAAACTTTAAAATAACTATTTTAAATTTATTTTTTTAAAATAGAGAAAAAGACAACCCAAATGGACAAAAACAGAGAACTTCAACAGAAAAATTAAATCTCTAAAAAGCCAAGTAACTATTATAGAAAAACTGGGAAAAATGGTATCTTAAAAACATCTTTACTGGTTAATGATAGATAAAAAAGCCAAGAAAGAAAAATCAGTAAAGATATATAGAATACTTGAACAACACTATTAACCAGCTTGAACCAACAATTGCAAAATGCAGAATGTGGGATATTCTACAAATTAACTGACATTTGTCTAAAAACTCAATGTTATGAAACAAACAAACAAAAAAACCAAGAACCTAAAGAATTGTAACCACCAAATGCAATGTATGAGACTTGATTGGATTTAGAAAAAAATACATATATATATAAATTTTAAAATATATTTTGAAGACAGAAAAATCTGAACTTATGAACTAAGTATTTTAGAAAATTAGATTACTGTTAACTGTCTTAATATGATGACGGTGTTGTGGTTATGTAGAAAAATTTCCTAATTCTTAGGAGATGTGTGCTAATAGATTTAGGGATAAAATGTAATGTTATCTGTAATTTACCTTCAAATAGTTCAGGAAATAGTGTGTTTATAGTATATATTTCTCTGTATTTAAAGAGCTAAAAAAGGCAAATTCCTTTATTGAAGGTATAGCTATACCTGTATATTGCATTTTTTTCTCTGGCTTTTAATGATTCATATTACATATAAAATTTTATTATTCTGTCCTTGGCAGGATAATGTCAGTAAGGCTTACCTCATATAACATATTCCCATAAGTTTTAAGTATAACAAGAAGCAAACTTTTGTCCAACCCTTTTTAAAGCCCACTTTAGCTTTCAAACTGACATGCTTTTAGAATTATCAAAAAGAGAAAAAAACTGCATATAGCTCATAATTATATATAACTCAAGTTTCAAAACACAATATTGTTTCAAAGTCTTTTCCCCAAACCTAGTTTTATGTTTAAAGATGTTACATAACTTCTCTTAGTATTACTTCTGATAGTAAAAAAAAAAATAAAGAAATTTAACCATATCTTGCCACTGTTCTTTTTTTAACAGTATGACCTAAATTCCTAATGATTTTTCATCAGTTTACATAAAAAATGACCTCATGTGATAATATAACGATTGATAAAACAAAAATCCAAGGAAAAAGGAAGAAGACTGAAGTTTGAGGCAGATTCATTGTTCAAGTAGAAGGTGAAAGCAATTGCTCCAATAAGAATACTACCTATCAAAGTTCATTTAAGAGATACAGTTTGAGGGCCTGCCTGCTGTACTGTAATAGTAATTTAAAAGCACTACGCTAAAATCCAACAATGATGGTCTTAAACAGCAATAGTACTGATTTCCTGACTTTCTGTTACAGGGGAACTATTTGGTTCAGTAGTATGCCTCATTTTGTGTTTCTTAACTTGAGGGAGAAAATGTATATTCTGTAAAACAGTCAGATTTATAACCATCTTCTCTCTAGAAATGCAAATAAAAACATTTAACCCCAACCATCCCATCTCCTATTATTTTGGCACCTTTCTTTAGTTCCTTAACTCCATTATTCTTTGACTCCACAATCCACTGATGGTACCACTTTCTAACTATACCTTATATTTTCAATTCCCTTACATATCATAATCACTAAAATGTGTGCCCCATCACCTCCCTGGCTCCTCTGAGTCATTACACTTATTTGAGCATTAATCCTAGTACACTGTCCTGTCAACTCACTATCTCATTCACCAACTGTTTAACTATAATTTCGTGCCATGATTATTGAAGTAGTTTTCTAACTGGGTTCCCTTACTGACACCCTTGCCCTTCCTATAGTCTGTTCTTAACACAGAAATTAATTCTTAAGAATTCTTGACATCTTGCAAAAGGTTAATAAAATCCTGTCACTTCTTTTGTCAAAACAGCCATATGACTTCCCATGTCAGAGTAAAAATCAATGTCTTAAAATGGCCCACAAGACCCTACAAAATCTAGCTGTTCATTGCCTTATTTTCTACCTCTCTCCCTCTGTCATTTTGCTCTGGCCACACTGGTCTCCTGGCTGTTTCTGAAACATGCCAGCATGCCTCTTCTTCAAGGTCTTCAGACTTGGTAGGGCTGGCTTACTGTCTCATTTCCTTTATATCATTGGCACACATCACAACAGTGAAACCCTCTTCCCCTACCTTACTTAAAATTGTTTTAGTTTTCCTTGCTTTATTTTTCTCATGGTGCTCACCACTGTCTGCACTAGTGTAAATTTAACCAACATATTGTTTCCGGCCACTCACCCCAACTAGCACGTAAGCTCTATGAGAGCAAGGATTTTGTGAGTTTTATTGTACTCCTAGTGCCTATAATATGACTGGTACAAAGTAGACAATCACTAAATATTATTTATTAAATAAAAGAACTAAGTTAAATACATATTTTTCTCTGAATTATTTGTTGAATGAATGAAATATGCATTATTACAGTTTTAAAATGAGATGTAAAAATTTTTGAATAAAAATGGAAAGAAAATGTAAACCAGAAGTTATCATAAACTTACTGTCCATGAGAAAGACAATGCTTTATTTTTGGGAATTCATGTTTATTTATTTAGCCTCTAGTTTTTTTTTTTTTTTTTTGGTCCAGGGTTACTTTTGCAGGTTTGTTATATAGGTAAATTGCACGTCACAGGGGTTTGGTATATAGATTATTTCACCACCGGGGCAATAAGCATAGTACCCAATCGGGAGTTTTTCAGGGAATTCATGTTTAAGTTTAGTCAATATACTTATCCTTTCTTATAATTTTACCACATTAAGAGAACTAGTATAAGCATTATTTCATTTTCTGATATTTTTAGCATTAGAATCAATATCATGAGAAAATAAACATTATCCAAAGTCAATATAAATGCTGGAATACCCTGAACCGTACATCAAAAATTCAAGATTTAAAAAATTTTAAGATGTTTTAAGACTTTATAGAACTCACTTTTACTTGAATCTAAATAATTATCTAAAGAAATTTTTATACCATAATTTATTAATGAGTCAAGTATTAAATCATTATATTTAAATGTATTGTATGTATTAAATGCATTTAAAGCCATATTTTTTAAAAGTTAAAACAAAACAAGTGTGTCAAAAGCATTTTTATTTAAAAAGGTGAATGAAACAGACCTAGGGAAAGTGAAGCAAAAGGGAGAAAAGTTGTTTTAAAAGACATGATCTCTTTCACAGTATTTCTGGTATTCTATTTTGGCACTATGAATTATACACAGCATCACTTAGATTTAAGAGTTTTGGCCAGGTGCGGTGGCTCACGTCTGTAATCCAAGCACTTTGGGAGGCTGAGGCGGGCAGGTCACGAGGTCAGGAGTTTGAGACCAGCCTGGCCAAGATGGTGAAACCCCATCTCTACTAAAAATACAAAAATAGCTGGGCACAGTGGTGGGTGCCTATAATCCCAGCTACTTGGGAGGCTGAGGCAGAAGAACTGATTGAACCCGGGAGGTGGAGGTTGCAGTGAGCCGAGATCACGCCATGCACTCCAGCCTGGGTGACAGAGCAAGACTCCGTCTCAGGAAAAAAAAAAAAGAAGTTACAACAATACATTTGAAACCAAAAACGTTAATTCATAAAAGTACTTACCTACAACACCATTCAATACGACCTTCGCCCTCACAAGTTTTTGCCCAATGATTATCTGCCAAATTTTTCATTGCAACGGCATATTCACAAAGAGTTTCTTCATCCTCACAGTGTTCTCGCCAGATCTTATCAAAATCTCCCACTAAAAACAAAGTGATAAATGAATTAAGTTTACACTGAAACATGTCAGACTCTTGAAATAAGTTTTAGCACAATCTGAAATTATTTAAAGATAAATACAAGCAAAATTATAAAGTAAAACCATAAAATTTTAAACATTTAAAATGTTTAAATAAATGTTTACACATTTAAATAAATACATTTAAATAAAAATAAAAATGTTTAAATAAAAGTTCCTTTATGTAAAGGGATGCATCATTTTAATTATTTTTAATAAATAAATGAATGATAACAGATTTGTGAAGCTGGAAAAATTGACAACATATACGCAGATACTGTATATATGAGTTATCAGTTAATAATCCAAAGACATGCTGGTAAGAAACAATTACAGCTGAGTACTCAAGAATTAATTTTCCTGTTACTGTTGGGCAATATAACTTTGCAGGAGCTGAGTACAAACACTAAACCTGCTTCTTGACTGTTATTTTCTTGTGTCTCTATTGACTGTTATCTTCTTGTATTTCTACATTTATTAAAAAGGGGTTGGTAGGTAAGATGACAATGTAAATTAAGCAATGAAGTAAATATTTCTATTTACACACTTGGACTTGCTCTAGGCATAATGTAGTTTAAAAATTTATAATTCTAGGTCAAAAAAGTCAAAAACTGCCTTGAAGGAAATTACTTTGGAAGCCTCTCCAAAGTTTGTAAGCCTTAAAAAATGTCCTATATAAAAACTATAAGCTGACTACATTATCCATTCAGCTACTACCTTTTATTTAAATAAAATTAAATCAGTCATCACAATATGAAATTGAAAACATCACTGTGATGACTAATAAAGGTAGGAGAATGCTATTGCTAAATAAAGGACATTAATGCAACTGTAATGGTAATAGAGTAAACAAAATTTACAGGGTAGTTTCATTCACTGTCCTTGGACATAGGAGTTAGGTTCTTACACCCCATAAGGAAATGTAGGCCATTAATTGGGGACAGAATAAACTTAAAACTATAAATAGAGGGGGTTGGAGCCAAGATGGCCGAACAGGAACAGCTCCGGTCTACAGCTCCCAGCGTGACTGAAGCAGAAGACAGGTGATTTCTGCATTTCCATCTGAGGTACCGGGTTCATCTCACTGGGGAGTGCCAGACAGTGGGTGCAGGACGGTGGGTGCAGTGCACCGTGTGGGAGCCGAAGTGGGGCGAGGCACTGCCTCACTTGGGAAGCGCAAGGGGTCAGGGAGTTCCCTTTCCTAGTCAAAGAAAGGGGTGACGGATGGCACCTGGAAAATCGGGTCACTCCCACCCTAATACTGCGCTTTTCCGACGGGCTTGGGAAACGGCGCAACAGGAGATTATATCCCACACCTGACTCGGAGGGTCCTACGCCCACAGAGTCTCGCTGATTGCTAGCACAGCAGTCTGAGATCAAACTGCAAGGCGGCAGCGAGACTGGGGGAGGGGCGCCCGCCATTGCCCAGGCTTGCTTAGGTAAACAAAGCAGCAGGGAAGCTCGAACTGGGTGGAGCCCACCACAGCTCAAGGAGGCCTGCCTGCCTGCCTCTGTAGGCTCCACCTCTGGGGGCAGGGCACAGACAAACAAAAAGACAGCAGTAACCTCTGCAGACTTAAATGTCCCTGTCTGACGGCTTTGAAGAAGAGAGCAGTGGTTCTCCCAGCACGCAGCTGGAGATCTGAGAACAGGCAGACTGCCTCCTCAAGTGGGTCCCTGACCCCTGACCCCCGAGCAGCCTACCTGGGAGGCACCCCCCAGTAGGGGCAGACTGACACCTCACACGGCCGGGTACTCCTCTGAGACAAAACTTCCAGAGGAACGATCAGACAGCAGCATTCGCGGTTCACGAAAATCTGCTGGTCTGCAGCCACCGCTGCTCCAGGCAAACAGGGTCTGGAGTGGACCTCTGGCAAACTCCAACAGACCTGCAGCTGAGGGTCCTGTCTGTTAGAAAGAAAACTAACAAACAGAAAGGACATCCACACCAAAAACCCATCTGTACATCACCATCATCACAGACCAAAAGTAGATAAAACCACAAAGATGGGGAAAAAACAGAGCAGAAAAACTGGAAACTCTAAAAAGCAGAGCGCCTCTCCTCCTCCAAAGGAATGCAGTTCCTCACCAGCAACGGAATAAAGCTTGGCAGAGAATGACTTTGACAAGCTGAGAGAAGAAGGCTTCAGACGATCAAACTACTCCGAGCTAAAGGAGAAAATTCAAACCAAAGGCAAAGAAGTTAAAAACTTTGAAAAAAATTTAGACAAATGTATAACTAGAATAACCAATACAGAGAAGTGCTTAAAGGAGCTGATGGAGCTGAAAGCCAAGGCTCGAGAACTACGTGAAGAATGCAGAAGCCTCAGGAGCTGATGCGATCAACTGGAAGAAAGGGTATCAGTGATGGAAGATGAAATGAATGAAATGAAGCGAGAAGGGAAGTTTAGAGAAAAAAGAATAAAAAGAAATGAACAAAGCCTCCAAGAAATATGAGACTATGTGAAAAGACCAAATCTATGTCTGATTGGTGTACCTGAAAGTGATGGGGAGAATGGAACCAAGTTGGAAAACACTCTGCAGGATATATCCAGGAGAACTTCCCCAATCTAGCAAGGCAGGCCAACGTTCAGATTCAGGAAATACAGAGAACGCCACAAAGATACTCCTAAAGAAGAGCAACTCCAAGACACATAGTTGTCAGATTCGCCAAAGTTGAAATGAAGGAAAAAATGTTAAAGGCAGCCAGAGAGAAAGGTCGGGTTACCCACAAAGGGAAGCCCATCAGACTAACAGCGGATCTCTCGGCAGAAACTCTACAAGCCAGAAGAGAGTGGGGGCCTATATTCAACATTCTTAAAGAAAAGAATTTTCAACCCAGAATTTCATATGCAGCCAAACTAAGCTTCATAAGTGAAGGAGAAATAAAATACTTTACAGACAAGCAAATGCTGAGAGATTTTGTCACCATCAGGCCTGCCCTAAAAGAGCTCCTGAAGGAAGCACTAAACATGGAAAGGAACAACCACTACCAGCCACTGCAAAATCATGCCAAATTGTAAAGACCCTCAAGGCTAGGAAGAAACTGCATCAACTAACGAGCAAAATAACCAGCTAACATCATAATGACGGGATCAAATTCACACATAACAATATCAACTTTAAATGTAAATGGACTAAATGCTCCAATTAAAAGACACAGACTGGCAAATTGGATAAAGAGTCAAGACCCATCAGTGTGCTGTATTCAGGAAACCCATCTCACGTGCAGAGACACACATAGGCTCAAAATAAAGGGATGGAGGAAGATCTACCAAGCAAATGGAAAACTAAAAAAGGCAGCAGGTGCAATCCTAGTCTCTGATAAAACAGACTTTAAACCAACAAAGATCAAAAGAGACAAAGAAGGCCATTACATAATGGTAAAGGGATGAATTCAACAAGAAGAGCTAACTGTCCTAAATGTATATGCACCCAAGACAGGAGCACCCAGATTCATAAAGCAAGTCCTGAGTGACCTACAAAGAGACTTAGACTCCCACACAATAATAATGGGAGACTTTAACACCCCACTGTCAACATTAAACAGATCAACGAGACAGAAAGTTAACAAAGGTATCCAGGAACTGAACTCAGCTCTGCACCAAGTGGACCTAATAGACATCTACAGAACTCTCCACCCCAAATCAACAGAATATACATTTTTTTCAGCACCACACCACACCTATTCCAAAATTGACCACATACTTGGAAGTAAAGCTCTCCTCAGCAAATGTAAAAGAACAGAAATTACAACAAACTGTCTCTCAGAGCACAGTGCAATCAAACTAGAACTCAGGATTAAGAAACTCACTCAAAACCACTCAACTACATGGAAACTGAACAACCTGCTCCTGAATGACTACTGGGTACATAATGAAATGAAGGCAGAAATAAAGATGTTCTTTGAAACCAACGAGAACAAAGATACAACATACCAGAATCTCTGGGACACATTCAAAGCAGTGTGTAGAGGGAAATTTATAGCACTAAATGCCCACAAGAGAAAGCAGGAAAGATCCAAAATTGACACCCTAACATCACAATTAAAAGAACTAGAAAAGCTAGAGCAAACACATTCAAAAGCTAGCAGAAGGCAAGAAATAACTAAAATCAGAGCAGAACTGAAGAAAATAGAGACACAAAAAACCCTTCAAAAAATTAATGAATCCAGGAGCTGGTTTTTTGAAAGGATCAACAAAATTGATAGACCGCTAGCAAGACTAATAAAGAAGAAAAGAGAGAAGAATCAAATAGACGCAATAAAAAATGATAAAGGGGATATCACCACCGATCCCACAGAAATACAAACTACCATGAGAGAATACTACAAACACCTCTACGCAAATAAACTAGAAAATCTAGAAGAAATGGATAAATTCCTGGACACATACACCCTCCCAAGACTAAACCAGGAAGAAGTTGAAACTCCAAATAGACCAATAACAGGCTCTGAAATTGTGGCAATAATCAATAGCTTACCAACCAAAAAGAGTCCAGGACCAGATGGATTCACAGCCGAATTCTACCAGAGGTACAAGGAGGAACTGGTACCATTCCTTCTGAAACTATTCCAATCAACAGAAAAAGAGGGAATCCTCCCTAACTCATTTTATGAGGCCAGCATCATCCTGATACCAAAGACTGGCAGAGACACAACCAAAAAAGAGAATTTTAGACCAATATCCTTGATGAACATTGATGCAAAAATCCTCAATAAAATACTGGCAAACTGAATCCAGCAGTGCATCAAAAAGCTTATCCGCCATGATCAAGTGGGCTTCATCCCTGGGATGCAAGGCTGGTTCAATACACGCAAATCAATAAATGTAATCCAGCATATAAACAGAGCCAAAGACAAAAACCACATGATTATCTCAATAGATGCAGAAAAGGCCTTTGACAAAATTCAACAACCCTTCATGCTAAAAACTCTCAATAAATTAGGTATTGATGGGACATATCTCAAAATAATAAGAGCTATCTATGACAAACCCACAGCCAATATCATACTGAATGGGCAAAAACTGGAAGCATTCCCTTTGAAAACTGGCACAAGACAGGGATGCCCTCTCTCACCACTCTTATTCAACATAGTGTTGGAAGTTCTGGCCAGGGCAATTAGGCAGGAGAAGGAAATAAAGGGTATTCAATTAGGAAAAGAGGAAGTCAAATTGTCCCTGTTTGCAGATGACATGATTGTATATCTAGAAAACCCCACTGTCTCAGCCCAAAATCTCCTTAAGCTGATAAGCAACTTCCGCAAAGTCTCAGGATACAAAATCAATGTACAAAAATCACAAGCATTCTTATACACCAATAACAGACAAACAGCCAAATCATGAGTGAACTCCCATTCACAATTGCTTCAAAGAGAATAAAATACCTAGGAATCCAACTTACAAGGGACATGAAGGACCTCTTCAAGGAGAACTACAAACCACTGCTCAAGGAAATAAAAGAGGATACAAACAAATGGAAGAACATTCCATGCTCATGGATAGGAAGAATCAATATGGTGAAAATGGCCATATTGCCCAAGGTAATTTATAGATTCAATGCCATCCCCATCAAGCTACCAATGACTTCCTTCACAGAATTGGAAAAAACTACTTTAAAGTTCATATGGAACCAAAAAAGAGCCCGCATCACCAAGTCAACCCTAAGCCAAAAGAACAAAGCTGGAGGCATCACGCTACCTGACTTCAAACTATACTACAAGGCTACAGTAACCAAAACAGCATGGTAATGGTACCAAAACAGAGATATAGATCAATGGAACAGAACAGACGCCTCAGAAATAACGCCGCATATCTACAACTATCTGATCTTTGACAAACCTGACAAAAACAAGCAATGGGGAAAGGATTCCCTATTTAATAAATGGTGCTGGGAAAACTGGCTAGCCATATGTAGAAAGCTGAAACTGGATCCCTTCCTTACACCTTATACAAAAATTAATTCAAGATGGATTAAAGACTTAAACGTTAGACCTAAAACCATAAAAACCCTAAAAGAAAACCTAGGCATTACCATTCAGGACATAGGCATGGGCAAGGACTTCATGTCTAAAACACCAAAAGCAATGGCAACAAAAGCCAAAATTGACAAATGGGATCTAATTAAACTAAAGAGCTTCTGCACAGCAAAAGAAACTACCATCAGAGTGAACAGGCAACCTACAAAATGGAAGAAAATTTTCGCAACCTACTCATCTGACAAAGGGCTAATATCCAGAATCTACAATGAACTCAAACAAATTTACAAGAAAAAAACAAACAACCCCATCAACAAGGACATTAACAGACACTTCTCAAAAGAAGACATTTATGCAGCCAAAAAACACATGAAAAAATGCTCACCATCACTGGCCATCAGAGAAATGCAAATCAAAACCACAATGAGATACCATCTCACACCACTTAGAATGGTTATCATTAAAAAGTCAGGAAAGCCCCTCCCCCTCTCCCTCTCCCTCTCCCTCTCCCGCTCCCGCTCCCCACGGTCTCCCTCTGATGCCGAGCCGAAGCTGGACTGTACTGCTGCCATCTCGGCTCACTGCAACCTCCCTGCCTGATTCTCCTGCATCAGCCTGCCGAGTGCCTGCGATTACAGGCGCGCGCCGCCACGCCTGACTGGTTTTCGTATTTTTTTGGTGGAGACGGGGTTTCGCTGTGTTGGCCGGGCTGGTCTCCAGCTCCTAACCGCGAGTGATCCGTCAGCCTCGGCCTCCCGAGGTGCCGGGATTGCAGACGGAGTCTCATTCACTCAGTGCTCAATGGTGCCCAGGCTGGAGTGCAGTGGCATGATCTCGGCTTGCTACAACCTCCACCTCCCAGCTGCCTGCCTTGGCCTCCCAAAGTGCCGAGATTGCAGCCTCTGCCCAGCCGCCACCCTGTCTGGGAAGTGAGGAGCGTCTCTGCCTGGCCGCCCATCGTCTGGGATGTGAGGAGCCCCTCTGCCTGGCTGCTCAGTCTGGAAAGTGAGGAGCGTCTCTGCCCGGCCGCCATCCCATCTAGGAAGTGAGGAGCGCCTCTTCCCGGCCGCCATCCCATCTAGGAAGTGAGGAGTGTCTCTACCCAGCCGCCCATCGTCTGAGATGTGGGGAGCGCCTCTGCCCCGCCGCCCCGTCTGGGATGTGAGGAGCACCTCTGCCCGGCCATGACCCCATCTGGGAGGTGAGGAGCGTCTCTGCCCGGCCGCCCCGTCTGAGAAGTGAGGAGCCCCTCCGCCCGGCAGCCGCCCTGTCTGAGAAGTGAGGAGCCCCTCCACCTGGCAGCCACCCTGTCTGGGAGGGAGGTGGGGGTCAGCCCCCGCCAGGCCAGCCGCCCCGTCCGGGAGGGAGGTGGGGGGTCAGACCCCCGCCCGGCCAGCCACCCCGTCCGGGAGGGAGGTGGGGGGGTCAGCCCCCCCCCCCCGGGCCAGCCGCCCCATCCGTCCCTACTGGGAAGTGAGGAGCCCCTCTGCCCGGCCACCACCCCATCTGGGAGGTGTACCCAACAGCTCACTGAGAACAGGCCATGATGACAATAGCGGTTTTGTGGAATAGAAAAGGGGGAAAGGTGGGGAAAAGATTGAGAAATCGGATGGTTGCTATGTCTGTGTAGAAAGAAGTAGACATGGGAGACTTTTCATTTTGTTCTGTACTAAGAAAAATTCTTCTGCCTTGGGATCCTGTTGATCTATGACCTTACCCCTAACCCTGTGCTCTCTGAAACATGTGCTGTGTCCACTCAGGGTTAAATGGATTAAGGGCGGTGCAAGATGTGCTTTGTTAAACAGATGCTTGAAGGCAGCATGCTCCTTAAGAGTCATCACCACTCCCTAATCTCAAGTACCCAGGGACACAAACACTGCGGAAGGCTGCAGGGTCCTCTGCCTAGGAAAACCAGAGACCTTTGTTCACTTGTTTATCTGCTGACCTTCCCTCCACTATTGTCCTATGACCCTGCCAAATCCCCCTCTGGGAGAAACACCCAAGAATGATCAATAAAAAATAAATAAATAAATAAATAAATACTCAAAAACAAAAAATAAAAAAAAATTAAGTCAGGAAACAACAGGTGCTGGAGAGGATGTGGAGAAATAGGAACACTTTTACACTATTGGTGGGACTGTAAACTAGTTCAACCATTGTGGAAGTCAGTGTGGTGATTCCTCAGGGATCTAGAACTAGAAATACCATTTGACCCAGCCATCCCATTACTGGGTATATACCCAAAGGACTATAAATCATGCTGCTATAAAGACACATGCACACGTATGTTTATTGCGGCACTATTCACAATAGCAAAGACTTGGAACCAACCCAAATGTCCAACAATGACAGACTGGATTAAGAAAATGTGGCACATATACACCATGGAATACTATGCCGCCATAAAAAATGATGAGTTCATGTCCTTTGTAGGGATATGGATGAAACTGGAAATCATCATTCTCAGTAAACTATCACAAGAACAAAAAACCAAACACCGCATATTCTCACTCATAGGTGGGAATTGAATAATGAGAACACTTGGACACAGGAAGGGGAAGATCACACTCTGGGGTCTGTTGTGGGGTGGCGGGAGGGGGGAGGGATAGCATTAGGAGATATACCTAATGCTAAAGGACGAGTTAATGGGTGCAGCACACCAGCATGGCACATGTATACATATGTAACTAACCTGCACATTGTGCATATGTACCCTAAAACTTAAAGTATAATAATAATAAAAAAAAGAAAAAAAACTATAAATAGAACAGCCAAATGTGGGAGATAATTATACTAAAATTCTTCCTCCACTTAAGGTTATTGAATTCTTACATCTAAGAGGTTTTTTTTAAACAGAAAAGGAATTATAATAGTCCAAATGTAACAACCAATATTTAACTATTCAAATTTGAAAATCTTTCCATTAATCCCAGTTACTGGGTATTTTAGGGTCTACAGTCTAATAAGTACTGAGTTGAAAACCAAACTATTAGCCCTCTAATTTGATCAAGAAAGAAGAGTAAGGATACAAACAAACCCTCTCACACATTGTTAAGATGACTATATATCAGTCTGAGTCTTGGCCTGAATACTGATTTTAAACCTGAGAGAATTATTTTTGAGGGGGCTATGTACTCATATACAAATATTTCCATTAATCACTAACATTTGGGTAGTGACTGGCCTCTCAATTTGTTACATATCAGACTGGCAATAACTATTAACTTAAAAAAAGCAGGGAAAAGTTTTCTAGATTCTCAAATAAAAATTCCTCAGTTTTAGAAATGTTAAGGTATTCGAGTTCAATCATGTTAAATCATAATAAATTATGATTTATTTTAATATAATGGCCAATGTTCTTTTTTTTTTAGCAGTTTGACTTGAATTCCTATTAATGTTTTTTTCCAGCAGTTTCATTTGAAAATGACCTTCTGTGATAAAATAACTATTCATAAAACACAAGTCCAAGGAAAAAGAAAAAAGGGTGAAGTTTGAGGCAGATTCAATGTTCAAGTTGAAGGTATACACAAATGCTCCTGTGAGAATACCACATACCGAAGTTCATTTAAGACATACAGTTTGAGGGCCTGCCTGCTGTATTGGAATATTAATTTAAACACACTACTGCTTTCCTCAGTTTTAGCAACATCTTTCAGATGTAGTTATTTATCAAGTCTCTAAATAGAACTTCAGAAAGTGAGGCGTTTGAAACAATACTTTAATTAATGACACTTTCATAAACCCATGATGGTACATAACACTATTTCTGACTTTATCCATCAAATTTGAAACTAAATCATTCATTAAGGTATTGTATAATTTTAAAGGTGAATCATCAAGTCTAGAAGGCCTTTTTTTGAACTTTTAAGTTTCACTGCCCTATAGAATCTATACATTATAAGTAAATACATAAATGTATTATATGTGCTGTTAATAGGAGTCATTCAAACAAAAGTTCTATGATAACATATACCTGGGAAAAGCTATGCTTAAAACAAACATATTTTCTTTTCCTTTCTGCAAGACTTAGCGTCTAAAGAATGTACAACTTGGTTGGGTGTGGTAGCTCTTGCCTGTAATCCCAGCACTTTGGGAGGCCAAGGCCGGCAGATTACCTGAGGTCAGGAGTTTGAGACCATCCTGACAAACATGGTAAAACCCTGCGTCTACTACAAAATACAAAATTAGCCAGGTGTGGTGGCGCATGCCTGTAATCCCAACTATTCGGGAGGCTGAGGCAGGAGAATCGCTTGAACCTGGGAGGTGGAGGTTGCAGTGAGCTGAGATCATGCCATTGCACTCCAACCTGGGTGACAAGAGCCAAGCTCTGTCTCAAAAAAAAAAAAAAAAAAGTACAACTTAAGACAAAGACCTGGGTCCATGTAGTTTAATTGGGTGAGAATCCTAGGAAACAGGAGTAAGGAAGTAGAGAGAAAGATGGGAAGGAGAAAAAACTAATACAAGGTTGCTTTACTGAGGTTGCTGCTGTTGGCAAACTGAAAAGCATACCGAATGTGTCCAGAATTGTGCACCTAAAGAATGGGAGGCCACGGCATTTATCTCTAAGTTCTTATCCCCATTAACTGAGAATTATTAACAATCTGCACTGCTAGTCTGCACTTAGCCACTGAATAAGGGGACAATCTCAGTGGGCTCCAGCAGTGTGGGAGAAAGGCAGAACACAAAAAAGCAGCACTCATTTAAAGTGGGTCTATGTAAGGGCTAGTGAATCTGAGCTCAAAGTGTCTATCTACCATGGGTGAGGACAAAGGGTGTGCTATGTGAGGCAACACAGGCATCTGTTAGAAATTCTTAGAGTCCTTGCCATGTCACTATATACTTTGAAACTCAATTTACTCTATAATTATTCTACTAGCTATAAGATGCAAAGAACTGAAAATACACAGAAACCTACTACCCTACAACTTTTTAGAAGACCTCTAGTTTTTCATACTCAACAAAATTCTCTGAAATACCACCTAATGAAATTTTATGGCTATCTACCTCACTGAAGTCCTAAGGAAGAATTCAAACTTTGTAGGCTAATGCAACTCAGATTAACCAAACAACTTCAATTTAACGATTTCATTAACATTGAGGAGTCTGCAGACTCTCACAAAGTGTGTTGACACTGAAAATTGATGTGATTCATAAAGTGAAGTATACTTAAATATATAACTGACAGTAGAAGATGCACCTGTATATATTTTTCCTTCTTTCAACAGATTTTCTTTTAAAAATACTCCATATTAAATGCTACAGAAAATAAAGTTAATGAGCAGGCATTGGTATCAAAAAAAGGGGAGAAGACATGTAAAATGTGGAAATGCTATAAAAGAGATATGAACCTGACGGGTTCCCTATATCCTATGCAAGGCATCCTGGACCCAAAACTTTTATTTCATATATTTATAAAATAAAAATGTTTCAAACTCTGACTACTGTGTATACATTTTGTTAAAAGTCTGGTGGTTATAAAATTGAACAAAAAACATAGCTGGCCTTTAGTTATGAGAAAATTCCACTTCCCAAAATACCTCTGAAAGCTTAAGGTAATTTTAAAAATAAATGAAATTATTAAAAAGGAATGAGAAAAAGTATTTTCATAATAGCCCATTTTTTGTTTTTATAGTATTTAAAATAATGGTATTTAAATTTTGAGCAAAGTTTTTCAAAGTAATCTATGATTCAGGTTCTAAAATCCAAAAAAAGTTAGGGTTCACCAGTGCCCAGTATAATATTTAAAACTCCTCTACCAACTCAAACTGCATATACAAACAATATATTAAAACTCAATTTTAAGGATTTTTTTATCACTTAGTTATTAGGTCAACTAATAATTAAAAGATATACTATTTAAAAGGACAACATTTTTTCATTATTAAAAGGTAAATCAGGAGCTAGAACTTCTTGAAGTTTGCATGAAAGGTCTAGTCAACACAGTATAAGAAACATTTAGGTCTTCAAGTTCTATCAGAACTCTCAATGAATTAATAATTAGCCTTATGATTTATTTTAATATAATGGCATCTGTGAATGACTCAAAAGTGTTGTAATTAATAACCCATTTTCTTACCAATTTCTTATAGGCATTCTAGAAAAAATACATGTGTCTTAAAGTAAAAGTGAGACAGAGAGAAAGAGAGAGAGAAAGAGACAGGTACAAGGGGAAAGGGAGGCGTGGAGAACAAAATCTGCAATGGGTACACACGTTTTACTTTGACCAACTACAGAGAATTCACAAATTATTTTTAGAAAGCACAATTCAAAAATATATGCTCTACAGCTTAAATTGTCTTACAAAATTCTAGAACAAAGTTCACATTAACATGACTTCTATTTAGTTATCCCATAACATTTAAATTTTTCAAACACCCATTTTAAAAAACAAATTCGTAATTTTAAACATGAGTGATGCCAACTTAAAGTTGCCAAACCAAGTTCAATATGATAATCAATGAACCAAATTATTTTGAATCTTATATCAAGATAATACCATAACTATTGCATTGACTAAACTCACCTTCAAAAACACTATGTCACAACTAAAAAATAAATTAGGAGCTACTAATAAAAGGACAATGACAACTAGGAAAGAATAGCACATTCATTAATTTAAAAAGAGTTCCATTTTTAATAACTTTGTGATTAAGACATTATTACAATGCAACTGCCTTTGTAAAAAAACAAGTACAAGGAAATGGGTTTAAAAGTATTTTTGCTCTACATAACATCCAGAAGCGCAGCTCTAAAACAGTTCCAAATTAAAGTGAACCAATGGAATCCCTAAATTATTTATTTAGAGTTGATATTATTCTTTCTTTATGAATTAACCTCTCTCCTGCCATCTGGTACAGCATTTTTTTTCCTTCAAAATGTAACTGAATTCATATTTTCTTCAAGAGGGTTTATCTGCCTCCCACTTTATCATCTTACACTTCCCTCATCTGCCATCCTTACGGTACTTTGTCATTCATTTATACATACTGTCTATTAAAACCAGGTGTGATTTTCCCAATAGAAAGTATAAATGGAAAAGCAAAGACTACTTTTGATTTACAATTTGTATAAATTAGAGAAGTTAATTAGGGTGCTCAGTCAGTGGAGGACAAAATATTTAAATTTTCATCATGCTCAAAAAATAAACATGAAAAGTATAAACAAATTAAATTAGTTGCTAAGATAAAATTCAAACTACAGAGGATGGCTTTCAATAAATAGCAGTCACTCAAAAGCAGAATTTAAATTTTTCACAATAGTTACTGTTTTCAAAGTAAGAGTTCCAAGGTCAGAAAAGCAATAATTTCAATGTCATTTTTCTAGAGACCATTGTTTTAAGCTTATTAAAAAGGCTTTTTCATTTTGTGTTATTGTCAAAAGAAAACCTTGCAGCTGACAGTCCAGTCATATCCATTAAGTTCTTTAATAGCAGTACACAGATCTTTTCGAAAAATTTATTAGCTCAAGGAGAAATGAACAGTAACACCACCAAATAGATAAAGAATTACTTATATGTGAAAAAAATGAATAGGTGGTGCTAAGGTTCATGCATTTTTACATGCCAGGACCACTTGATTTTTATATACTTGATGTGTATAAAAATAATATTTTTTCTCAATAACTCTATCCTAATTCTCCTTTTTAAAACATACAAAGCACAGAAAATAAGTTAGCAAGTATATATGTGATGCCATTTTAAGATAAAAATATATTTACAAACCATATACCTGATAAGGGGTTAATATCCAAAAGATATATAAAAAAAACCTCAAACTGAATAGCAAAAAAACAAATAATCTGACTAAAAAATGGGCAATGACCTGAATAGATATTTTTCCAAAGACAACACAAAAAATGGCCAATGGGTATATAGAAGGGTGCTCAACAAAACTAATCATCAGGAAAATGCAAATTAAAACCACAATAAGATACTACCTCCCATCTGTTAGGATGGCTATTATCAAAAAGACCAGAGATAACAAGCATTGGTGAGGATGTGAAGAAAAGTGAATCCTGTATACTTATGTTGGGTATGTAAATTAGTACAGCCAAAACAGTATGGAGGTTCCTAAAAAAATTAAAAATAAAACTACTACATGATTCAGCAATCCCACTATGGGTATTTATCCAAAGGAAATGAAATCAGTATGTCAAAGAGATATCTGCAATCCTATAATCATTGCAGCATTACTCACAATAGCTAAGAAACGAAAATAAATGGAGGTGAATCTATAGTGAAAAGACATGTGAGACTGAGAGTATAGAGAGAGACCGACTGCAAAGAAGTATGAGAAAATTTTGGCAGTGATGAAAATGTTCTACGCCTTATTGTGGTAATGGTTTTACAGAGATGCATGCATTGTCAAAACTTACGGAATTATATACTTTAAAAAGACACAATTTACTGTACATGAATCATATCTCAATAAATTTAATTTTTAAAAATGATGTGCCACAAGCATGGTATATGTTACAAAATTAAGATTATATTTCATTAAATTTGAGGGCCATCAAATTCTCTAAAAAAGCAAAAAAATACATGAGTATCAAAAGTCTTAAACTTTTAGAAATTCAGAACAATTTATTTGATTCTGACTTAGGCATATTGCCAAATACGGGCCCTAAGATGCCTTATCTGTAGATGACAAGACTACCAAATTCAAGTTCAAAGTACCTTTAATGGTCATTTTCTCTAACACAAGGTAAGTAAAGAAACTCATGACTAAGTGCAAACAAGTTCAGCTACCATTTCAAGGCATTAAAACAAAATGTTCAGAATTCAGATTGTCTTACATAGTTAAGCCATACAACGACCAGTCTTCTCAGCTCTTGAGCACCTGATACAGTGACACATCTAAAAGTGGGATAAAAAACATCCAAGGTGTTTGGTAATTAAGAGCCAAAAAGTAACCAGAAAACAAAAAGTTTGAAAACCTGCATCTTATAGCCAACATGTTATGAATAGTCATTTCTCTAATGTGGGAAGAAAACACCACCAATATTCTGACATGCTAAAAAGGTTGGACTTTTCATATAAAAACTTAGAAACACAAACAGCAAAAGGGGCAAAAAAAAAAAAAAGAAGAAAAAGAAAAAGTCATTTTAATACTGAGAAGACTACAGAACAGTCTAGGTAAAAATTCCAGGAGCCATCCAGTCTTTAATGTCATAGTCCTTAAATGCATTGAAGCAGTATAGCTACAGATAAAAGAGCTGTTATTTTTAAATTTCTGTATTTTACAAGCTTAGTGTGTTTCCTATATGCCAAATGTTGTTTTAAGTGCTTTTCAAATATTAACTCATTTAATTATAATACCAATCCATTGAGGCAGATATTTTACTTTATAGATGAGGAAACTGAAGTAGAGCGATTAAGTAAACTTTTCCAAGGTTACACAACAAACCTGGTAGTCAAAAGCTAAAGTCATGCTCCTAACCACAAACTTTGCTTCTCTTCATAAGTTTTTAATTCATGAACTTTCATGGATATGAGCAAAGCTTTGCAACAGAGGAAAGTACACAGACTCTACTAACCACAAACAAATGGTCTTTTGTCAGTCAAATGCAGTTATTTAGTCTCTGCAACTGCATTATTTGTTAGATTTCTGGCAGTGGTTCTCAACTCTGGCTGCCAATTCTGGCTGCACATTGGAATCACCCAGAAGTTTCATTTAACTGGTCTGGAGTGGCAACTGGTCATTTAGTTTAACACTCCCCGGATGAATCCAACGTGTAGCTATGGCTTAAAACCAATGGTGTATAGCAAGGTTGTGAGCTTAAAAGCCTGGCAAAATAATATAGAGAGCAGGGGGTTGGGACAACCTTAAGAGTCCAATTTAATTAACAAAAAAAAAAACACAACAAAACAAATCAATGCATGGATTAAACTTAATATCTACAAACACTGGCTCACGGTGTATCTTCTGTTCTTGGAACAGCCTTTTATTATAAACATATCAACGATAAAAATACTTACTCCAAAATGCAAGTCTGTGAACACATCCTATAAGGCAGATGGAAAGAAATCAAGAAAAATCATAACCAATGTCACCAACATGTTATTCCCTTGTGAAAGTGAACTTCACAGGTGGGTCTATGACCACACAGAGCACTTGCTTAGTTTAATTTTCAACTTTCAAACAAAAGGATTTATGAACAGCCTTTTGGAACTTAATTTTCATATGTTCAATTAAAAAGTCTTACCCTAATTTCTATATAAATGGAAATGGATACTCACATGCTGCTCTAAATGCATGAAGATTAACCACCTATTCTAAAATAAACACAGCAATGGGTATTAGTGTATCTACACTTAAAGCACAATAGGTCAGTATAGTTTAGTGGTTGTCAGATGTTAGATTTTGTAACTAGTATAAATTTCACTTCAAATTTAAGAGACTGATATATTGGGGTTGAAAAATTTTTATCTGTAAATATAAACAAATACACAAAACTATTACTTTTTTTTTTTTTTTCTTTTTTCGGGATGGAGTCTCGTTCTGTCACCCAGGCTGGAGTGCAGTGGTGCAATCTCGGCTCACTGCAACCTCCGCCATCCAGGTTCAAGTGATTTTCCTACCTCAGCCTCACAAGTAGCTGGGACTACAGGCACATGCCACCACACCCGGCTAATTTTTTGTATTTTTAGTAGAGACAGGGTTTCACCAAGTTAACCAGGATGGTCTCTATCTCTTGACCTCGTGATCCACCCGCCTCGGCCTCCCAAAGTGCTGGGATTACAGGCATGAGCCACCGTACCCAGCTCACTATTACCATTTTTATTACCAACATACAGAGAGACATACATTATACCCACTACAACATCCTTATGAGAACAAATAAAGATACCATAATGAGTGTAAGGATATATTTACCATTATATTTATAGAAAAATAGAATGCTATTCAGAATAACTTGGACCATTTAAAAAAGGGTAAAATTAATCTAATATACTCAATTTAAGAAGACATGAGCATAAATTAGAAAACATGGGTATCCACAAGTTAAAATTTTAAAGTTATGAATATAAAAAGATAAAACTCAACTATCTGGAAATATTTACATTAGCTTCTTCTGTGCGTGTGCCTTAAATCTACAAGGCCTGGTGCTATGTACTAAGGCTACAGAGATAAAAGGCAGAGTTTTACTCAAGAAACTAAGTTTAGTAGATAAAACAGACAAATGAACTGGTAAGTTATAAATACCATAAAGGTAGGCACAATCATGCTATGGAAGCACAAGGTAAGAGGGGCACTTAGGTAGGGGCACTTACTTATGTAGGATTCTGTGCTAGGTGCTGTACACAACTGTGTTTGTGGGGATGGGGTTTGTGATGATTAATAAAAACCCAGATCTTTGTTTCAAGAGTTTACATTACAATAAACTGGCCTAAAAGACCAACCACGAAGAGGTCATTTCAAAAGAGGCCTGAAGATCGGACTCTAAACCATAATCCTTAATAATCTAGATTTAAAGTTGTTAAAAACATTATGCTGCTAAACTTCCAGTACAACAGTACTTCTGATTTAAAGAGGAACATTTTAGAAAATTTTACTTGAATTGGTGGGGGAAGGAAGAGGGGCAGGGATAATGCCCAGGAGCCATCCAATCCTTAATGCTACCCTGAAGACATAAAGACAGAATAGCTACGGTTAACATCTCTATTATTTTTGTTACTTAAGGAGGGTAGGGATCCTGCTGCTTTTGCTAATTAGCAAGGACTAGTAAAAACAGGAGCTCCAAAAGTACTGTATGATAAAACAGCAAAGTCTCCACTTAATCGTCAAATGTGAACAATGTATGAGATTGCTCTAGGAAATTAACAAAAATACTGAAGAAGATATGATTATAATAGGAACTATGTGACAAATGTGCCTGACTTATTTAGACACTATAGAAATGGCTACCAAAAGATAGAAAACTAATATAAAAATGTGTCAAAACTATCAATGAAGAAATTTAAAGACAACTTCTTAAAGTGTGCCTTAAAAACAAGTAGCTCCTTACACAGTGGTGCAGCGAGACTACCTATTATTGAAAAATCATTAACTCATTCAGTTATCTCAACTGATGTTTCACTCTGTATACTGTATTTTTATGACAGAAATAAATATTTCATAGGCACATATGAGGAAGGAATGAATGTGAAAAACAATTTGAACTCCCAGGACGAGCACATCCTTTAGTAAAGTACCCTGCTTTTCTTTGCAACAGAAAAATCTTAGTTCAATGTTTTCTCAAAAAGTGTTCCAATGATCACCTGAATTAGAATCACATGAGGGACATTAAATATGCAGATTCCTGGGCCCCAAATCTCAGATCCACCAAATTGCTTTCTGGGGACCTAAGAATCAGCATTTTAAAAAGTTCACTGGAAGATTCTGGAGCCAACTAACGTTTTAAGAACCATGGCCTTAGACGCTTTAAAGCTGCAAACATGATATATACTTATTAAAGAAAACAAATGCACCAAAACCAACTGAAAATACTGATTTGTTTGATTTTGAAAGACTGGGACTCTTTGAAAATCAAAGCAAATCAATATTTTCTTAAGAAATATTATAGTAAACATAATTTTACGTTTTCTTGAGGACTTTAGGCTGTCACTATGAACACCTTCACTCTACTGTAAATGAAGCATAAATGGCGGCAGATACAGTTCTACTACTGTGTTGGTACCCAGCACAGCAGACACCCGATCCCTGGGAGTACTCCCTGTGTTCTGTGATGGTTCCACTTTTCTTCTTCCAAACTCTAACTACTGGTGTGTTCCAAGGATCTGTCCTCAGTTCTATATTACAACCCCACTGTGCAGTTTACTTGCCTCAAAGATTCAGCCTCCACAGAGGGCTTCCAAATCCTAAACTTCCAAAGGATAGATTGCAAACTAAATCATTACCATTATCCCTATAACAAGCCAATCTGCCTGACTACCCTGTTCCTCTTGCCTCCAACTCCTACCATTTCCAAAGTGTATGCTAATAGCTATCTACATTTTCCCGGGAAAGAAATATTGGCATCATCTTTGACCCTTCTTTATTTTCACTGAAACTGCCTATTCTGATCTTCAAAGTCTGTCTTCTTCTATTTTCATCATCACTACTGTTATTTAAGCTATTATTAACTTTAGATCAGGTTAGTATAAAAGCCTCCTTTCTCCTAGATTCCTCCTACTACAATAGCTGTGTTTCTGAACCTCTTTGTCCACTGTGTACTCTGGGAGCTTTTATATATACAGATGTCTGTGTTCCACAAAGTTCCAAAGATTATACTGATGTGGAACCAAGGCTAAGAACCGCTATGTTAGTGGGTTTATTTTCCATTAAACAATCAAGGAATCTGCAACAATGCTTTTGGTTTCTAGTGTATCTTTTCAACTGCAAAAAGCCCCTAAAACGATACCTTGTCACAAAGAACACTAATAATAACAAAATCAAATAGCTAAACACTAATGTACATTGTATACCTACATGCCCTTCATTGAACTGACTATATAAATGGTCCCTTTATCTTTTACTATTACTGATTACTGAACTCTTTTCATTATTTTTCTTCTGTTGGGAATGGCAGTTCAAACTCTCCTAGTGCAAACTTAACAGGACCTTCTGTGACAACCTTCACCTTATTTATTTCAATGATCAGGCAAATATTCTATCACAAAAAGCTTTCTGATTCTATATCAGAATAAGTATAAGAAGAACACAAAAAGAAAACAGCAAAACCTCACTTGAGAAAAGAATCTGTTCAAAGTTTCTTAAGGTCTTGGACTTGGTCAAAATTTTAAAGCAGCTGTGTTTAAAGCCCACTGAGGAAAAAAAATAAGAAAAGTTCAATTAAAAGGAGTCTCATTCTAATTTTTAAAACAACTTCAAAACTTTGTTTCTGGAAAAACACCAACATCACATTCATTCTCTTATTTTTAGCCTTTTTGGTTTAAAATTATTTTAATACAAAAGTTTTTCCCCTTCCCCCACAATTCTCATTTTAAGTGTTTGCTGAAGAATAGTCAATCACAAATATATTTTTCAGCTTATCCTACACTGCCATGCTAATTCACCTGTTAAGATCACCCCCTAATTCCATGACTTTAAGAATACCTCTTTTAACAGTTTAGTACATACTTTTACTTTTTTTTGTGATTGATTTATAAGCTGCAGGTGTTTATGTGATAAACTGTTTTAAATCTGTTTGGTATGCAGAACAAGTAAATTCAGGGATTGAATAATTTGATAAAATGTCCCAAAGATATTCATAAGATAGGTTAAAAAAATAAAAACGAAATGGAATGAAAAGTGTACTTTTACTCCTGACAACTGCAGCCTTTTACATTTTCTTGGAATTTTTACATAAACGCTTTAAGTTTAGAAAGAGAAATGCCAGGCATAAAAGCAATCATTACAGGAATGGGTTCATGTGAATACGATTATGGAAAAAAAAAATCATACAAAGACAACCAAAAACACACATGGCTCTACTTCAGTTCTTGATTTGATACATATTTGTCAGGCTCATCTAATTAAATAATGAAGTCCCTGTTTGAAAAGCGAAACTAGTTTTTTTAATTAAAAAGCTGTCTATAACTCTTATACATTTAAAATATTTTTGGTTTACATGGAGGTCAAATTTTAAAAATTATGTATGCAAAGACAGAAAACACCTATATGTGCAAGCATATTTCCATTTATAAATATGGATCTATTCACTAGATAGTGAAAAACCTATCTTATGAATATCTTATGAATATAACCTCACTTTAAAAGACTGTCTCTTAACTATCAATGGCAGACACCAGAAATACCCCTTCGCATCACCACTGCTAGGCATCTCCCTACCATTTCTTTTTAGTAACTGCTTCAGATACGAGTGCTGCCTGGAACACACCTTTATCTCCAGTTCTCACTTTACCTTTAGACAAATTGGCACAGCATCTCTTAAGTGGTGAAACAAGGCAGGCCATAAACTGGGGAAGGAAAAAGTGGTAAACGAAAAGAGTGCATTAAGCCTACCTGCTACTCTTTACAACCCTGTTCACCCTTCCCCACCCCAAGCCTGTTCATCACCATCAACTAGCATCAGTTGGGCAAATGGTTGGAGAAGAGTGGAAAAAAATCTTTTCTTATCACAGCAAAAAAGAACAACACAACTTATTTTCATTGTTTTTCCTGTTTTATTTTCAATTCCACTAATAGAGATAAGGGAAAAGAAGGCTCTGTTCTCCAACCTCCCAGTCACTATCTATCCTGTCCTTAATATTCAATGGCTGTTTTGCCTCCTTATTCTACCCTAACTTATTTCCTTCCCTGCCATCTCTCCCCAAAAAACCCTCACCTTGTATAGCCCCAACTCAGCTAATCATACCTATCCTATGGATCATCCATTCCCATCAATTTATAACTTTTCACCTAATGGAAATTCTAGGGCCACTTCCTGCTTCTCATTTTCCCTCCTATTCTAACATTTGGAGTCACTAATATTAGGTTTGGAGTTGGGGGTGGGGAACCTATATTATTCCCATAAAATATGTATAGTATTAATAATGAACTACCAAAGCATCAAGAAAGTTATTTTAATATTTTTAGGACTCCGCTCACTTATCTGTAAAATGAAGAAGCTATTAGATCACCACTCTAATATCTGGCTGACAATTTCCAGTTCCTAATAATAGGGATCTTAAACTATAGATCTGAGGTAGAATACAGGAATTGTCTAAGAGGCACCCAGTTGAATCTGCTGATCAGCCATGTTTGGGAATCACTGCTAAATGCTAAGAGGTTCCTTCTAGTCTAAAACTCCAAGATCCTAAGCTGGAATTTTCACTGCATTTGCTGGTAGAAGAATTGTGATAAAAGGGGTACAGTTTCCATAGTTATTGGTGCTATAGTTCAGGTATGTTATTGATTCAATGGGCCTTTGCAGACTGATCTAGCACTTAAGCAATCTTCAGATTACAATAACAGCTGACTTGCAAATGAACTTGTAAAATATGTTTACAGACTGGGGACCATCAGCACAATACTAAGTCCTCAAAGTAAAACACTAAAAATTATTTCCTTAGTATTATTATGTGCACAGAGTTTTTCACAGATGACTTTTTTACTACTAATATTTAGCCTATATGTCAGAAATAAAGGTAGAAGGAGCATGCTCATTAGGATCACTTATTCTGCTAATTCACTGATGGGGCTTTGTATATCATTCAAGCAAAGCCTAGAGAAGTCTAGATCACCGGTGAAATTCAGGGTATTAAAGCGCCTAAAGAATAGTCTCATTCAAATGTTTAAACTGCCAGGACTTTAACTCCCCAGAAGCATACTAGATCATTCACTTATGAACTCCATGTATCTATTCTAGATCTGGTAACTTCCGATTCTCATAAACAAGAGTTCCTGTGGTTAATACTCAGGCTTAAAACATGGTTAAACATGTGGGAACTAAGCACATATAAACAGCACTTGAAGAGATGCCACATTAGTGTGTTAATTTGAGTGGAACCTATTCATTTATGAATAAATGAATAATGAAATTATTAAAAGGTAAAAATAGAAATGGAATTCTATGCTAGTCATTTTTCTCTTTAGAAAGATGCACTTAAATTTGTACAAAATAGCAGGATAAATTGCAGGAAAATGTGTCCATTTATTTCCTAATCTCTCCAAATAACATAAAATCTACAGTGAATTCCATTATGTAAGAGCATTCTTTGAATATCAAGAATGATGCAGTTGTTGCTATGGTAACTACTCATTTTATTGACTAAATTGTGGGTTTGGGTAGCATTCTTTCAAAAAACATATTTTACCATCCTAAGTAGGTCTGATAAGACTCTTTCTATTGCTATCTGTTAAACAATAACTACAAGCCCCATTTGGGGATGATTAAACAGCCTCTATTAAAAGCTAAGCTTGATTTGCTAAGGAAAGAAACCTTTAAAGTTTGAAAAATGAAACATATCAACTACATTCAAAAGAACAAAGGATACTTAGTTTTAACTTTCTAGAGTAGTTGAAACGTGTGTATAAATCAACAGTAACATGATCTTACCTGTCTGTATTCCTTCACTGCCATAATTTTCCTTCTAATCCTAAATTATTAACTAAGTATAGGACTAACACCAGAAGGCTGCTGACTTTTCAGTTTGCAATTAAGCTAAAATGAGAACCAGTGGAAAGCTTTCCTCATTTCGATACTCAGGAGAAGTCTCTCTCCCAAGCCTATGAAAACAGAATTTTCACTGTCAAAATCTTATAAAACAGCTGTGTACAAAAGCCTATATTTAAAGATATCAAGGATAACTGTAGACTCCAACTATAAACACTCTTCAGGCACAGGCAAAAGCCACTAAGGCTTCTTCCCCTATGAGCTTCCACAGAGGGGGTTCTCACCGGAACCCCATCCATGGAAGCCGAGGGTGGGCTTTATCGGCAGGTGTCTTTAGGAGGCTTCCAATACAAACGGTATTTTCAGAACCTGCCCAGATCTCTTCCTCATCGCCTAAATAAACAGTTAAGACCAAGTATTTAAGAAATGGGAGTGGGGGCCACGAGTGTAGCCCGCCCCCTTTTAACAATGTGAAGTCCAGTCAGCTAAAAGGCCTGCTGGCTTCCCAGCCCTGGAAGCCAATGCGAGGAAGGCTCGGCATGGTTGTAGGAATGAAGTACTAGGAAGGGGGTCTGATAAGGAAGCAAATGGTACAGCCGGTAGGTCAAGCGTAAAGGAGGGACAACTCAGGTTTCTTTTCGTCTTTTACAAATGGATTTTACCTGTCTTGTTTTACCTCGGCGTCTCTTGCAAAAAGCGACCCCCACCTCCTCTGTGAGCGTGTATGTGTTTGTGTGTGCCGAGACAACAACCTCAGCACCCCGGCTGGGGACAGGGGCTTGGAGGGGGTGGGGACTCAATTCCTTTACAGGCCTAGAACTCTCCCGAAGGGCCCTCAAAGAAAAGGGGGCGGGGAGGAGCGCGTCTGATGCCGACTAGGGGGCTCAGACCAGGCCCGGGAGAGCAGCAGCGGCTGGGGGGACGTGCAGATCCTTTACATTTTAATGGTGGCCTCTTTGGAGGAGGGAAGAGGTGACAAGCGGTTGGGGGTGATGAGGCCTCCCCTTCCTCCCTCACTCAGCGCGCTGTTTACCTTCTCGGTACTTCTTGCGGAGCCGCCGGTGGACGCTCTTCACCACACCGGAGAGCTTCTCCTGCTCCAGTTTCCGCTCCTGCTCCCGGGGCGGCGGAGTGTTCGGGGACCCGGCCCTCTGCGCACGAGCAGTATTTCGGCCGCCGGCCCCTGGCTCCATATCGCAGCCGCCGCCGCCGCCGCCGCCCCTCAGGCCCCCGCAGACGCTCCCCAGATGGAGGAGGTGGGGTAGGAGGAGGGAGCTGCGGAGGCAGCAGCCAGAGGAGGCAGAGGAACCGGAGCGACAGCCTTGGAGGTGGACCCTCACCCAAAAGTGCAAACTGATTGGTGGATTTTGAGGGCTGGGCGGAAACGGAAAAGGCTAAGGGCCAATGGGCAGAAAGCGCCGGCGGCGAACCCGGTTGTTTGGGAAGGCGAGCAGCTGGAGGAGGCGGAGCTTGCGGGGATAGGGAGGCTGAGGCAGTGGGAGCTCCAGGCCTGGGTGCTCATCTCTTCCCCACCCTCCCCGGATTCTGTGCGCAGGCGCTGTGGCTCGGCCTCGGGAGACGAGCTGTGAGCAACGCGCTTGCGCGTCTCAGTTTGCTTAGTTTGGGCTTTTTTACAGCTCGGCTTTCTGATGTCTTCCATCATTTTCATCCCCTACACTTTATAATCTGTTGCGATGCGGCCAGGGTGCTCTGCTTGAACCTCCGCTGCACCTTGTCACATGTAGGTTCCCTTTAGTTACTTGCGCTTTGAGATGACGTTACACTTCAGGGACCTCAAGCACACAAGCATTCTAAGGCTCAAGGAGAGGTCTGGCTACCAAATGCTAATTTAATTCTCAGGTCGACAATGGTTTATGCCTGCAGTACTACTGCTGGGCAAAGGACATAGAAAATGCGAAAAGGAGAGGGCCAAGAAAAGCAACAGGAGATGCAGGAGGACAATAAGGAACGATGGAAAACTCACAGCAGATGCCCTCAAGAACTTTTGTAGTGACCACGGTGTTAATAAGCAGCCTTCCCTGATCTTATTCGCATCAGCACTCTGAGCTTTTATGGTCAGCTCAGGTGACCTCCTGTCCTTTAATTTGGAGAGTTAGTCTATGCGGAGTGTATCTAAGTGGGTTTGGTAACCTGTTCACCCTCCTCCACTTCTTTTCCATCTCTTGGGGAACGCGATTGTTGACTTCTGTCCCAGAAAGGTGGAACACTGCTCTCTGGAGAGAGGTAGACTGCATTGGCTCCTGAAGTGGTACTGAGGCTGCTGGAGTGTCAGAGATTGAATAGACTGAGAGCCCCTAATGAGTTGTGTTGGATTGTGTACCACTTCCCCATTGCAGGTGTTGGTTACGTGACAGTCTATGGAAATGATTGCAATGGTAACATTTTGATAATGATTTTCTAACTACGAATAAAGCTTGCATTATGTAACTGTTTTATATGCTACCTTCTTTATATTGAATACGCTGAAGAGCAAAGAATTATACACACTGTCTAGGACACAGGAGAAGCGGGAGGTGAAGGGAGATTGATGGAATTTAAAGGCGGAAGATGTGTCCCTACAGCACAGTGAAGAGACAGATCAAACACAAAGACAAGGACATATAAACTTCAAAAGAACTCCTTATAATTATGAAGAGAAGTTAAGCGGAAGTGCCTAATAAATTGAAAATATGGTGGTCTTATTTGGGGGAATTTCATTTGGGAAGAAAGGGGAGCTTGAATTACATGTCTCTTTTGGCTCTTTCCATATTTTAATACATATGGAAGGCAAATAATGGTGCAGATATTCGAAAGATACAATGATAGTAAAAAGAGCATTAAATTTCACTTGTGCTGAACTGTAGTTTTATTTTTTAAAAAAGAACTTTTCAGCATAATACTAGCAAATGAACTTTTAAGGCCTCTTAACTGAAGATGTTCACTGAAGGAAATTTGGAAAATACAGAAAAGAGTAAAGAAAATAAGACATCTGGACTGAGAGATAACAACTTAACATTTTTTCTTTGTTTGTATATACTAATTTCAAATAGGATATTTCTTGATGCCTATGTGGCAATCTATTGTATGAATAGCCTACTATTTCATTAACCAATTCCCAGTTATTGTAGATTTATGTTTTTTCCAGCTTTTTTGTATTACAGATAATGTCATGACAAACACATTTGCACACAAGTATTTGTCCATTTCTTTAATTATACATTCCATCAGGCTAAATTCCTAAAAGTTCAATTTCTGAAGCAAAGGGTCAAACATGTTAGGGTTTTGATGTATATTATGAAATTGCCTTTTCTGAAAGATAGTAGCAGTTTATGCCATGTCCACTAGTACCTATGGGTGTTTATTTCATTGCACCCTTACCAAAGGTAGGTATTACAATTTACAAAGTCATTAATGAGATTTTAAAAACATGTCTATTTTTTAAATAAATATGTGGAATTTCCTGCTGTTTCGTAACTAGCTATTCTTATTGGTATAATATTTAACTTAAAATACCAACGTAAGAATAAATAAAAGGAACTTATTTAAGACTATCTAGTTGTTGTTGTTCAAGCAGATTGAAGAGTCCTACCTTTTAAAATTACTTTTTGACTTCACACTTTCTTGAAAAGCAACCGAAGAAATAACAATTGGACAGCCAGATTTTATTTTAAAGAAAATGAAATCTTTTTATTTTCTTTAAATTTTTTATTTAAAAAATGTTTTATTTAAAATTTTCATTTAAAAAATTTTAAATTTTTTATTATAAAATAAAGATTTTATTTTAAAAATAAAAATAAGATTTATTTTATTTTATTTTATTTTATTTTATTTTATTTTATTTTGAGATGGAGTTTCACTCTTGTTGCCCAGGCTGGAGTGCAGTGGCGCATTCTCGGCTCACTGCAACCTCCGCCTCCTAGGTTCAAACGATTCTCCTGCCTCAGCCTCCCGAGTAGGTGGGATTACAGGCATGCGCCACCATGCCCGGCTAATTCTGTATTTATAGTAGAGACGGGGTTTCTCCATATTGGTCAGGCCAGTCTCAAACTCCCGACCTCAGGTGATCCACCCACCTTGGCCTCCCAAAGTGCTGGGATTACAGGCGTGAGCCACGGCGCCAGGCACAGATTTTATTTTAAAGATGCGTGAATTCAAATGAGGTATAGGCCAACATGTCCTGAGAAATATTTTAAGGTGATTTTTTTTCCACTGACTATCCACCACAGCACAAAAGGGAGTTTATAACTACTTTCCTCCTGTGTAGTTAGCAATATTACAAAAAGCTTTCTATCTGTTAAGGTTGCTGAGGAGTCATAATGGAATTCTCCATTTAAGTGAAACAACAGTCCTAATTGCTGATAAAATGGATTCACTGAAGGAAGCAGGCTTGGTGCCATATTCAATGAGCATATCCTATGCCCAGGAAAATGTCAGCAACTTTCCCCACTTTGTGGTGACAGGTTTTTATTTACTGTAAATATCTTGTTTTAAAAAATTCTCTCATTATTTTAAATGCCTGTTAGGGAAAGAGGATGTTGGAATAAAACACTCTTCACTGAGCAGGACAAACCAGTCTGGGAAGTAGAGGCTTTTCTAATGACCGCTCTAAACCCCTGATAAGTAAATTTCTCATCCTCATTCTTTGCCTTACCTAACCAGCTTCTGTACCTAATTCCTTACACATTAGGTAGGTCAAGTAAGCTTCCTTTGTTCAAGAACCACTCAGTACAGAAAAAATGTTTTTGGTGAGAAAAATACCTTGTCATCTTTGTTTACAGTTATATTCTTTATAAGTAACACAAATTCCTACAAAGGGTGTAAAGAGTCAACATATTGCAGTAATAAAATATGTTCTATTCCCAGTGTGAGTTTGAAAAAATTAATGGGTGATGAAAAGTCAACTTAAAAATCCATATCAAAATCTGGGATGAGGCACTGAGGTAACCCGTAGATTCTGGGTGTGCTTTGTAAAAGTGTTGTACATTTCATTCTGACCCTCTTGAGTGTTGCTGTAGAAGAGAGAAGACTACATAATAGAAGTTGGGGTTCTTGGCCAAATTTGGTGGCTCACACTTGTAATCCAGGCACTTTGGGAGGCTGAGGTGGGAGGATCACTTGAGACCAGAAGGTCGAGGCTGCAGTGAGCCATGATTGTGCCGCTGTACTCCAGCCTGGGTGACAGAGTGGGACCCTGTCTCAAACAAAAAAAAGAAAGAAAGAAAAAAAAGAAATTGGGCTTCTTTGAATAATCTAAGGCATTATTTATTTTTATTCTTCAGTGACTTGGTATTATCTACTTTGCTTTGGCCCTCTTTATTATAAAAATCATAAAAGCAATTAGACTTTAATGTTGCATAATAAAAGTATTAATATTAAACTTCTGTTTCTAAAACATAAAAATGTTAAAACAACAGTGTATGTCAATTGTGCAAAAAGACTTGATCAGCTTTATTATTGAAGATACAGCTGTATTCCAAGCTGGACAAATCTTTGGTTCATGACTATTTAGAAATAGAATCTTTAGGAATTCAATTAAAATGAGGACTGGAAAAGTAAAATCTATGTCATTTTGAAAATATTTACCACTGTTTCCAAAATTCTTACCCATGAATATAAAAATATCCATGAAGTTTAAATGATTTTTTGTATTCAGAATTTTAAAAAGTAGATGTATCTTTAGTTGAGCACATTATAGAGAAATTGTTAAGCCTTTTGTTTTTCATATTTTATTTCAAATCATAGAAACTTTCTTTGGAAAATTCCGTATTTAATGTTTTGATAGAGACAAACAGTGGAGAACTAACAAGAAAAATATTTTTAGTGATATATTTCTATTCAATATGGCAGATTACAACTTAAAAATCCTTCTATTGATTAAAAATTAAAAGGGTTATTTTCTTTAAAAATTTATGTCTTTAACTACTATTTCAATGACTTCCCTGCAATTCATAATTTAACTGCGAACATTAAAAGTATTCAAAATAACACATAGATTTGTTATCTTTCAAAAGTTAATAGACTGGTGTTAACCAAGTGACAATCATTAATTAATGCTTACCTCAAAATACAATTATAAAACATACTATTTTGTGATATACTAATTAATGAAATATATCTGATAATCATAACAGGGCTAATGTAGGAATAGATCTACATAAAAAAGAAGTACACTTCTTCTAAGTGATAATGTCCTTACAATGAAATGTAGGACTAAAATTTTCTGTGTCCTAATTCCAGCCTTGCATTAACCAACAGAGCAAGGTTCTCTGAGCCTTATTTATCCTCTGTCAAATGTAAAATGAAGAGATTGGATTTGACTAGTGTTTTTCAATTTTTTTTTTACTGTGACTCTAGTAAGAAATACATATTACCTGATGGCACAGGACACTTAGACATATACGCTACATGTATATATATATATGTACTCTACATATATATATATTATAAATATATATATATAAATTTATACCCACATATATAATGAGGACAAAAGTTTCACCAAGCAATACTTATCTTCACTAATGCAGTGCATGGTGGTATTTTCCATTCTATTTTTAGTTTTTTAAAACTATAGGGTGTACTACGTTGATTTTATGGCCCTCTAATGAATCACAGCCTAAAATTTATAAAATACTGGCAATTGGAAAGATCCCTTTCAGTCCCCAAACCACAGTAATTCTATGACTCACATTGATTTTGAGAAAGCTTTATGAGATGTACCTTACCATGTTGAGTCTACTCATTCCTTTCAAACATCATTTTTACCTTGGGAGATTTCTTACATTCTGAATGCGGGCTCAGAGAAGTGACCTAGACTCTGCTAACCATAGTCTCTGAATGAAGTGTCTATTTGGAAGAGAGCAAAATGACGAAATAGAAGCCATAGGGAATCTTTTGGCCTGTTGAGGGAGAGTGGAGGTGTAGTTCTTTTAGGATCACCAAGCCCAAGGGTCTACCTTCCAGTGTCTAACATTTGCTTTATAAGCCAAATAATAGGGGCAATGGGTCTTTCCCAGAGTAGTTGCTGGGTCGACTTATGTGGGGATCTGGGCTGCGTAGTCTCCAAGTCTGCCTCTCTGATCCTTCTGGAGATCTGGGATGCCTTTTCTATTTGAACTCGCTGAAGTGAGTTGTATTTTTTTATTGCACAGAGGTGGCTAGTGCTGAGACATTCTGGAAGAGAATTAGGTGATCGAGAAGCAGTGTTTGCTAGCTTTCTCTGTGACTTGAAGTGATCTGCTATCTGCTAGGTTCCTTGGTTTCCTAGCTGTCAGATAATGACGACTTACCATTCCTACCTCACAAAGTTGTGTGAATAAAAAGAAATTACGGACTGAAAGTGTTTCAAAAAGTTAAGAAAGTACAAATGTGAATAAATGGTATACATGTAAATTGTTTCTAAGGGGCCAGAAAAAGTGAAATTTTTCTAAATGCAGGAAGCTAAATTTACACTTCTTTTATTAAATGTACATCAGTCTCTTTTTAGATTTTAATAGTTTGTCACTGACTTCCCATTTTTTTCTTTTCCTGAAGGTAGAACATATTCCCATATTAGCTCTGAAATTACAAGGTTTTATATGTCCAAGTATGAAGTAATCACCATATAATTCCATATAATTCCTAAAGTTGACTGTTATCTCTCCCCCAAAGTTTTTGTAAGATAATTAGAATAAATGTTTTATGAAAAGCCAGATCAAAATTTACTACCATATTTTAATAAACATATTTCTTTTTTAAAAATTATATATATTTAATTATTTTTAAAAAATTTTTCTTTTTAGAGATAGGGCCTTGCTGTGTTGTCCAGGCTGGAGTGTAGCAGCGCAATCATAGTTCACTGTAACCTCAAACTCCTGGGCTCAAGTGATCATCCCCCTTCAGCCTCCTGAGTAGCTAGGACCACAGGTGCATGTCACCATGCCTGGCTAATTAAGTTTTTTTTTCTTTTTTAGAGATGGGGGTCTTGCTGTGTTGCCCAGGCTGGTCTTGAACTTCTGGTCTCAAGGGATCCTCCCTGCCTTGCCTTTCCTAAAGCAATGGGATTACAGGCATGAGTCATTGTTCCTGACCACATGATGTTTTGATATACACAGTGGAATGGTTACTGCAGTCAAGCAAGTTAATATACACATCTTCTCACATAGTTACCTTTCCCTCGTTGTGTGTTAAAAGCACCTGAAATCTATTCTCTCAGCAAATTTCCAGCATGCAGTGCAATACTATTAACTATAGTCCTCATGCTATACATTGGATCTTTAGTCTTACTCTCTAGACTTATTCATCCTACATACAACTACAGCTTTGCACCCTTTTACCTCCATCTCCCCATCCCCTTTGTGTGTTCCCAATCCCCACCTCTAGTAACCACCATTCTACTCTCTGTTTCTATGTATTTGTCTTTTTTTTGGAGATTCCAAATGCAGTTTTAATTTACTTCACCATGTAATTCAAATCACTACCATTTGAAAGTGACCATATCATTCAAATCACTACCATTTGAAAGTGTGCAGGGGCCTTATTAATTATTATGCTAAGACAACAGGCATACATTGGGACTTTCTCAGACAAACTGAGATGTGTGATATGTGGCCACCCTTCTTACACTTCAGTAATTTCTACAAAAACAGGAGGACAGATCAACAACCCGGTAGAAAAATGGATAAAGGATATGAACAAATGATGATGATGGCAATAAGAGTAACCGCTTACATGGTGCTTATTATGTTCTAGGCACTGTTCTTGATATTTCTGCATACGAATTATTTTATCTTTACAACAACCCTATGAGGAAACTGAGGTACAAATGAAGAAACTAAAGTAAGAACATTTAAGTAGTTCATACAAAGAAATATAAATTGTTCTTAAATATATCAAAATATACTCACCTCATTCATAGTAAAAGAAATAAAAAACTGTGCTCTGATGACATTTTTCATCTATGAGATTTACAAAGATCTAAAAATTGAGAATATACATTTTCTATTGCCTTTGGATGGCAATTTGGCAGTAACTATCAAAAGTATAAATATCTATACCCTTTGAGGTGTCAATCTCATTTTAAAGAATTTATTCTTCAGCTATGTACATACATGTAGGAAATTATGATTGTACAAGGTTATTTATTGTGGAATTTTTGTAGTGGCAAAGAATTGGAAATAATCTAAATGTCCCTCACTAAGACACTGATTAAATAAATTATGGAACATCCTTACAAGCCATTTTATGGCCCTACATCCAGGGCCATAAAAATGAATGGGGAAACTTTTAATGTGCAGATCATGGAGGATGAGAATTGGGTTCCTGGGAGGCAAGAGTGGGAGGGATGCTCTGTATTCTTCTATAATTTTGGAGTTTTGAACCATATGAATACTATCTACATTTTTAAACTATGCATTTTTATTTTATCTCTTTTTAAAATTTCAATAGCTTTTGGTGAACAGGTGGTTTTTGGTTACAGTGATAAACTCTTTAGTGGTGATTTCTGAGATTTTGGTGCACCTGTCACCTGAGCAGTGTACACTGTACCCAATGTGTAGTCTTTTATCTCTCACCCCCCTCCCATCCTTCCCCACAAGTCTCCAAAGCCCATGATATCATTCTTAAGCCTTTGCATTCTCACAGCTTAGCTCCTACTTATAAGTGAGAACATACATTATTTGGTTTTTCATTCCTGAGGGTTACTTCATGTAGAATAATGGCCTCCAGCTCCATCCAAGTTGGTGCAACATACATTATCTCATTTCTTTTTATGACTGAGTGCATATATACCACATTCGATGGTGTATATATACCACATTTTCTTTATCCACTCATTGATTGATGGGCAGGTATGTTGGCTCCATATTTTTGCAATTATGAATTTTGCTGCTATAAACATGCATGTGCAAGTGTCTTTTTCATATTATGGCCATTCTTGCAGAAGTAAGGGGGTATCTCATTGCAATTTTAATTTGCATTTACCTGATAATTAGTGATGTTGAGCATGTTTTCATATATTTGTTGACTGTTTATATATCTTTTTTGAGAATTATTTATTCATGTTCTTTGCCCACGTTTTGATGGGATTATTTATTTCTTTTCTTGCTGATTTGTTTGAGTTCCTTATAGATTCTGGATATTAGTCCTCTCTCAGATTCATGCTTTGTGAATATTTTCTCCTAGTCTGTGGGTTATGTGTTTACTCTGCTGATTCTTTCTTTTGCTGTACAGAAGCTTTTTGGTTTAATTATGTCCCATTTACCTATTTTTGTTTTTGTTGCATTTGCTTTGGGTTCCTGGTCACGAATTCTTTGCCTAAGCCAATGTCTAGAAGGGCTTTTCTGATGTTGTCTTCTAGAATTTTTATGGTTTCAGCCCTTAGATTTAAGTCGTTGATTCATCTTGAGTTGGCTTTTGTATAAGGTAAGAGATGAGGATCCAGTTTCATCATCCTACATGTGGCTTGCCAATTATCCCAGCACCATTTGTTGAATAGGGTGTCCTTTCTCCATTTTATGTTTTTGTTTGCTGTGTCAAAGATCAGTTGGCTATAAGTATTTGGCTTTATTTCTGAGTTCTCTATTCTGTTCCATTGGTCTATGTGCCTATTTTTATACAAGTACCATGCTGTTTTGGTAACAATAACCTTGTAGTATAGTTCGAAGTTGGGTGATGTGATGCCTCCAGATTTGTTCTTTTTGCTTTGTATTGCTTTGGCTATGCAGGTTCCATATGAATTTTAGGATTTTTTTTCTAGTTCTGTGAAGAATGATGATGGTATTTTCATAGGAATTGCATTGAATCTGTAGATTGCTTTGGGCAGTATGGTAATTTTAACAATATTGATTTCCTCCCCCCACCCCAAGCATGAGATGTGTTTTCATTTGTTTGTGTCATCTATGATTTCTTTCAGCAGTTAAACATGATATTTCTAATTTTCCTAGAACTTCTGAAAATTATTCCAAAACCCGTTTCAAAAATTCTTCTTTTATTTAATAAAAATATATTGAGCCATGAGTCAGAAGTCTCAATATGGTTATAATAAGTCAATTTTCCTTGGATTGACCTAAAGAATAAAAAAAGTGTCAAGCAAAATTCTGGCAATTTTTTTTTTTTGGTAGAAATTGATAAGCTGGGACAGGCATGGTGGCTTATGCCTGTAATCCTGGCACTTTGCGAGGTGGACGTGGGAGGATTGCTTGAGCCCAGGAGTCTGAGACCAGCCTGGGCAACATGGCAAAGCCCTGTCTCTACAAAAACTACAAAAATTAGTTGGGCATGGTGGTGTGTGCCTATAGTCCCAGCTATTCGGGAGGCTGAGGTGGGAGGATCACCTGAGCCCAGGAGGTTGAGGCTGTGGTGAGCCGTGATCATTGGCACTGCATTCCAGCCTGGGTGACAGAGTGAGGCTCTCTCTCAAAAAACAAACAAACAAAAAGAGATAAGCTGATTCTAAAGTTCATATGGAAAAACAAAGAAACTAGAAGATCTGAAACAATTTTGAAAACACAGAAGAAAGTTGAATATTTTAAGAGTAGTATATAACCACAGTAATCAAGACAGTGTGGTATTGGCATAAATAACAGATAGATCAATGGAACAGGAGACAGAGTTCAGAAACAGACCCACTTGTGTATAAATAACTGAATTTTCCACAAAGACGCAAAAGCAATTCGGTGGAGAAAGAGTCATATTTTCAACAAATAATGCTGAAACAATCGGACATCCATATACAAAAAAACCCTTCAAATTAACTCAAAATGGAACACAGACCTAAATATAAAACCTAAAACTATAAAACTTCTAGAAGAAAATATAGGAGAAAATCTTTATGACCTTCAGTCAGGCAATTTTTTTTTTTTAGGGTTGACTCAAAATACAATCCATATAAAACTGATAACTTGGACTTCAGCAAAATCATAAACTTCTGCTCTTTGAAAGACACTGTTAAAGGACTGAAAAGATAAGCCACTGAATGGGAGAAAATATTTGAAATCGTATGTCTCATAAAGGACTAATATCCAGAATATACAAAGAGCTCTTAAAGCTAACTAATAAGAAAACAACCAACTCCCTTCCTATACCAAATGGGAAAAAGACATGAAGACACTTCACTAAAAATGATGAACAGATGGCAAAAAAAAAAAATGTATGAATGCTAAACATCATTAAACATTAGGGAAAAACAAAACCACAATGAGATACCACTGTATACCTATGAGAGTGGCTAAAATTCAAAAGACTGACCATACCAACAGTGAGAGGAAGGGAGAATGCTATACAATGCAGATAAAAATGTTAAATAGTAGAATCACTTTGGAGAACAGTTTGGCAGTCTGTTAAAAAGTCAAACATACACCTACTGTATGATCCAGCCATCCTACTCTGAAGTGTCACCCCAGAAAAATGAAAGTATGTCTATATAAAGACTTATGTACCCATCATCACAGTAGCTTAATCTGTAAAAGCCGAAAACTGGGAACGACTCAAATGTTCATCAACAGATGAATGGATAAACAAACTGTAGTACAGCCATACAATAGAATACTAGTCAACAAAAGGAATAAAAATAAATAAGCTATGGTTTCGCACATGACAAATGAATCTCAAAATAATTAAGCTGAGTGAAAGAAGCCAGGCAGAAAACAATATATACTGTTCGATTTCACTTATATCAAATTCTAGAAACTGCAAACTAATCTATGGTGACAGAAAACAGATCACTGGTTGCATGGGGATGGGGTGCGGGGTGATTGCTGGGCGAGATTACAAAGAAAGCATGAGGAAACTTTTGGGAGTAATGAATATGTTGATTACCTTGATTTTGGTGAGGGCTTTATGAGTCTGTACATGTGTCAAAACTTATTTTGTGTGTCAAAACAATTGTCAAAATGTCAAAACAATTTAAATGTGGGCATTTTATTGTATATTAATATACCTCAATAAATCTATTAAAAATAATTCTGCACTTGTTATATGCCAGACATTCTGCTAGTCATTGCAGCTTCAGTGGCAAAATAATTAAAAAATTGTATTTTTATAAAATTTGTAGTTACTAGTAAGAGGATGCACAGCAATGAAATTTTTATTTACTATGCATAAAATAATGTAAGTAGAAATTTGATACAGGTTCATTATCTTTTTTGCTACCTAAATCAACCAAGTAATCAGTTTATTGTGAAAATAGCAAAGGCTCAGCATACCTGTTAACTGAGAAGATAAGGAAATGAAAGACATAAAATAATTCCTAAATATTAGTCCCTTATCAATACCCATGACTTTAAAATACAAAATGATAGGCAAAGTTTTAAATTCTTAACCTGGTCTAATTCCAAATAATTGATAGTGGTAGGAATTGAAAATATTAATAAGAGTTTTATTTTAAATTAGTTTTAGAAGAATATGTCTTTTAAAGGAAATTTTTCATGAATGTATCAAACCAGTTAAACAGAAGTGATGGTAGACTAGTTGAAGAGAAGTGTAACACATTATTTTGTTTTACTCTTTGGTTTATATTGCATGTTTTGGGAAAAGCATCAGAAAGGAAAGGTCTTTTGTTTGTTATTTAAAAATAATTATCTGCCAAGTTGATTTTAGCCTAGAATAAATTGGCATATGAGTTTTACAAAACAATAGTTAGTAATTAACTTTCCTCAATTAAAAACACACCGTAAGTGACATGGTATTTCTAAGTAGAGAAATTAGGCAAAGAAAAATTATGAGCTAGATAACCCAAAGCAGTATAGCTTATATTGGATATGTTGGGCTCCTACATGGTGATTTTACATTTTTACATGTTTCCTTTTCTTTCTACTTCATTCCAAACCCCGATCCTATCTCACTTCCACCTTTTTAAATACTTGGATCTTGAAAATATTCCTGTCTTCCCTTGTTAAAAGATAAATAACATTAGAAGGGACCCTTTGAACTAAAAAATAATAATAATTAATTAACCAGTCATCATTTGACATGGCATTTAAGGATAAATACTTATGATAAATAGAAGAGAAAACTTAAAGCTAGGAAAGTGAACAATAGTGAAGCAAGAGGCCCTCTTGAATCCTTATCTCACAATTTAAACACACTTTTTTAATGTTCAGGGGTACATGTGCAGGACGTACAGGTTTGTTACATAGGTAAACATGTACTATGGTAGTTTGCTGCACAGATCATCTCATCACTTAGGTATTAAGCCCAGAATCCATTAGCTATTCTTCCTGATGCTCTGCCTCCTCCCCCCAGCACCCTCCAACAGGCCCCAGTGTGTGTTGTGCCCCTATATGTGTCCATATGTTCTCATCATTCAGCTCCCAGTTGTAAGTGAGAATATGTGGTATTTTATTTTCTGTTCCTGTGTTAGTTTGCTGAAGATGATGGCCTTCAGCTTCATTCATGTTCCTGCAAAGGACTTGATTTCATTCCTTTTTATGGCTGAATAGTATTCCATGGTGTATATATACCACATTTTCTTTATCTAGTGTGTTATTGATGGGCATTTGGGTTGATTCCATGTCTTTGCTATTGTGAATAATGCTGCAGTGAACATGCGCATGCATGTATCTTTATAATAGAATGATTTATATTCCTTTGGGTATATATCCAGTAACGTGATTGCTGAGTCAAATGGTATTTCTGCCTCTAGGTCTTTGAGGAAATGCCACACTGTCTCCCACAATGGTTGAACTAATTTACATTCCCACCAACAGTATAACAGTATTCCTTTTTCTCAACAACCTCACCAGCATCTGTTGTTTTTTAACTTTTTATTAATAGCCATTCTGACAGGTATGAGATGGTATCTCGTTGTGGTTTTGATTAGCATTTTTCTAATCATCAGTGATGTTGAGGTTTTTTTTGTATGATTGTTGGCCACATGTATGTCTTTTGAGAAGTATCTTTTCATGTCCTTTGCCCATTTTCTAATGGGTTTGTTTTTTTCTTGTAAATTTATTTAAGTTCCTTGTAGATGCTGGATATTAGACCTTTGTCAGATGAACAGATTGCAAAATTTTTCTCCCTTTCTATAGGTTGTCTGTTCACTCTCATGGTAGCTTCTTTTGCTGTATGGAAGCTCTTTAGTTTAATGAGATCCCATCTGTCAATTTTTGCTTTTGTTGCAGTTGTTTTTGGCGTCTTCGTCATGAAATCTTTGTCCGTGCCTATGTCCTGAATGGCATTGCCTAGGTTTTCTTCTAGGGTTTTCATAGTTTCTAAACCTATGCTTAATTGAGAAAAAAGTCAGTGATTCACTCAAAAATATAGTGATTTAAAATGGTATAAATCATTTATTTGCTCAAAATGCTGAAATTTAGGCAGGATGGCTCAACTACTCTTGGAGGACCCACTTCCAAGATGGTCTCATTCACCCTGCTGACATGTTGATATTGTCTATTTCAACTGGGAGCTCAGGGCCAGTGGCCTCAATTCTCTACAGGACCTCTCCACCTGGATAGGTTGGGCTTCTCAGAGCATGGTTGCCTTAGGGTAGTTAGACTTTTTACATGGTGGCAAACTTCTCACAGAGCACAAAAGAGGATACTTCCAGGCCTTTTTCAGGCCAAGTTGGTCTATTATATCTTGAGCAATTCTAATGGACCTTTGCCTAACTTGCCTCTCCTACCTATCATGCCTTTTCCATGCCTTTTTGCTAATCTACATTCTATACTTTCTCAAAGGTCCAGCACAAAGAACACTTCCTTCATGAAAAATTTCTAATTGTTCCGCCTCTGTGTGATAGCTCTTTCCTTTTGAAATCTGGCAACTCCTATTCTTTGTACTATTCACTTCTCATTGAAAATAAGCTGTCATATTATTATTTACTTTCCTATGGATAGCATATCCTATTTCCTCAACCCACTGTATGATCCTTGAGGACACAACCCAAGGTCCGTATCTACATCAAAGTGTCCATCATGTAATATGTGCTAAATAAGTGTTTGATAGCCAGGTCAGCTGGTTGTATACTGAGGCATTTCAGTTCTTTTTAGGAGATGTTATTCTACATGAAGTGATGTACATCTTGAACTTATACAGATGCTTAAAAAAATCTATTTGAGAAGTTATTTACCTGGACTACCAAAGAAGAATTTAAATTATTCATTGTAGGTATAATGAGTTCATATTATTTATTTTATAACATTTGAAATTTTTTTTTAAATTCATGTTTCTTGGTCTTTTTCAGTGACTCAAAGCAGCAGAAGCTTTTTAGGATGTTCAGCATCAATGAGGTAAGCCTAAAAAATGCAAAGATAAAACTAGTTAGCATGGAAATAATGAGTAGAAATGGTTATTAAGCTAATTGTCTTCAGCTGGAGAGAGAACTAGAGGAACTTTAATAGTATTTCTTTTCTGAACCACATTAGCTCTATCAACATAGCGCTGTGATCAACACATTAACTGATTTTGTCTTCTTCTACTCTATATGTCTACTATTATGACTTGGAGAGTAATAAATGTACCATTATAGTGAAGGAGGAAAATTGATGCTGATAGAAACTTAACAAGGAATGGGTTGGGTCTGTAAATCATTGAATACAACCCAAGAATTGTCTTGGCATACACATGTGTCAGTAACTTCAAAAGTAGTTTCTTTTCAGGACTCTACAGTGATTTCACTTTGAAGAAGTTTCTGAACTTTTAACTCAAGGTAATGAGCCAGTTAATAGGAGAGTGGGTTTTGTAGGAAGCAATTACCCCAGTTGATAGGAAACTTGAGAAAATGAGCACAAGTTGTAATGAGATTGGCAAAAATGTCATGTGTCTGAGAGCTGAGATGGAGTAAAAGGGAAAGATGGTGGGAGACAATACCATGAATACCACTGAAAATAAATACCATGAATACCACTGAAAATAAGGATGAGATATATTATTGGAGCTATGTCTACAGAAGGCTATAGAATTAATTTGCCTGCAGGCAAGATGACTTCTAGAAATGTGGAAGTCAGGAGTCCATGGTTCAATTCGAGCTTTTTAATGATCTAGTTTTAGTCCAAACAATATAGTGATAAAATAAATTTTAACAGAATAAACCATTATCTAGCAGTATATACTTCAGTTGACACCGTTTTGGAAAGAGTAGGTCATAGGCATTGCTTCCACTTCCTTGTCTCTCGGTCTAATTTCAGCCCACTGCAACCTGGTTTTCACCCCCGCAACTCTGCGGAAATTGCTTCGAGAAAGGTCAGCAATGATGTGATTGTCAAATATGTTAGCCTCTTTCAGCTCTCATCCTACTTTTCTTTTCTGCAGAATTTGATTGTTTATCATTTCCTTCTTCTTAAAACTCCTTCTTGGCTTCTAAGATGCAGCTCTTATTCTTCCCATGTGTCTCTGTTTGCTCTTTATCTTTCTTTTAGTACCATCTCTTCTGCTGGAATTTTCTGAGCAAACTACTCTCTTTTCTCACTCTACATGAATTTTCTGAATGATCTTATGTGATCCTGAAGCACCAACTATTACCTATGTATCTCTCAAATACTGATTACTCAACATTCTGAAGCTTTGGATCTGACATTGAATGTACTGTAACTTTTCAGGCTCAAGATTGCCCTCTCCAATCTCGTATTTTCTTTTCTTGTTTTCCTTGTCTCAATTCTCAGCAATCCTATCTATCCTATTGCCCAAGCTAGGAATCTTGAAGTATTCATTTCCTTTACACCTTTCCTCACTACTTATATTCAAATATGGTCCATTCAACCTCTGAAATGTGTTCAGTATCTGCCCATGCCTTTCCATTGCTACTATTACTCTCCCAATACAAAAAATAGTCTCTTATTTTTTGCTTGTAACTTTTCTTAATGGTTTTCTCATTGGGCTTACCTCTTTGAATCTGGTTAATCTCCCTTCCAATCTATTATTCATATTGCTGCTGGAGTTCTCTTTTTTAAATGATGGATTTGAGCATGTTCCTTCCATGCCATGCTTAAAACAAAAACAAAAACAAAAACACCTTCCAATAGCTTCACAGTTTGAGAACTGCCTACCTACCTTCTAACAATATTATCTTCTATGAGATCGACGATTCACAGGAATGGGCCTCCAGAAGCCAGCTGCTGATCCATAGGAATGGGCCCCCAGAAGCCATATTTATTCCAAATGTCTCCTCACTCTTCAGCCATAGTTGATTGAAACAGGAGCGAACACTTGAATGGAGTCAATTATTCTCCCCCTATAAAGACTATAATTATGAGTTATGTAGTTGCCACATTATAATATGTGGAATGGAGAAGAAGGAAACAGACTGGGAAAGAAAAGGATAAATTATTGACAAAGGACTGGCAATATTCTAGCCTCTTCTCAGGTTGTCATTGTATTCCCACTCTTGGATTCTATAGTATACCTGTACCCTTTTATTGAACAGCCCCCTTAAGTTTATTGTTTATTTATTTTTTGTTGTTAAGTTCACCTATGTATACCTCTGTTATTTGCAACTCTACTAAAAATACAAAAATTAGCAAGGCGTGGTGGCAGGCATCTATAATCCCGCTACTTGGGAGGCTGAGGCAAGAGAATCGCTTGAACCCAGGAGGCGGAGGTTGCCGTGAGCCGAGATCATGCCACTGCACTCCAGCCTGGGCGACAGAGCAAGACTCCGTCTCAGGGTGGGGTGGGGTGGGGGGAATAGTAGCCATTCTGACTGGTGTGAGTCGGTGTCACATTCTTTTGAGAACATCCTAATATACTATGCTCCTCTCTTTGACTTCTTAATTGACGGTCCCTCTTTCCCGGAATCATCGATCTTTTTGTCTATACTAGAGCATTCCCATCAATGCACAAATATTCTCTGGTATCTCCTCTTCAGTAATAGTTTCCTCCAGCTCTCATTTCACTTTTCTGCTTCCCTTCAAAACTAAACTTGAAAGAGTTGTCTACTTCAGCTTCTTCAACTGCCTTGCTTCCCATTCACTTTTAAGCCTACTCCTATCTGAATTTTATTTCACTCACTCTACTGAAATTGCTTCAGTTAGGATTACCGATAATCTTCATTTTGCCATATTCAGGGGATTCTTTTCTGCCCTTATCTTAGCTGCTTAGCACCACTGAGCGTATTTGATCACTTCTTCCTTCTTGAAATACTCTAGTTTTTAAGGGAGATTTTTAGATTCTGAGATTCCTCATGCTCTAGGGTTTTTTTTTTCCTCCCTCTCTGGTTACTCCTAGTTGGTTCCTTTTCTATCCAAATTTTAAATGGTGGAGTTGACATATTTTTTCTCATCTATGCAGATATTTCCTCAATCCTTCCATTTGTATAAGCCAGAACTCTGGGGTTCATGTTGATTCTTCGTTCTCTTTCATCCACTCAATCCCTCACCAAGTCCTAACAATTCCTTCCAAATATATTCTGAGCTGCTCACTTTTCCCCTTTGCCACAGTGATTGCAGCAATGTATTGCCTCTATCATCTCTCACCTGGACTTCTGCAAAGGCTTCCTAACTAGTCTACAAGCCTCCACTTTTGTCCACACTTGAGTCTATTCTACATATGGAAAAAGAAATAATCTTTTAAGTACACAAATTGCAACATGCCATTTCTTTGCCTAAAACTATTTAATAGATTCATGTTGTACTTAATAAAATTCAAACTGTTTACCATGGCCTACCAGGCTGTGCATTTTATAACCCCACCTTTTATTCCACTTTCAACTTGTTCTACTTTCTATTTATGTTCCAGCAATTGGATTCTCTCAGGTCCTTGAACATGCCAAGTTCTTTTCTACTTCAACTATTTTGAACATATTTTTTCTTCTGCTAGAAACTCTCTCCCCTTAGCACTTTGCTTTGTTGGCTTCTTTTCATCGTGAATGTCTCCACACAAATGTTTCCTCCCTAGAGAGGTATTTTCTGACCATCCAATATAAAATAGTGCTCTCCACCTGACCAAAATTCTGTTAATACATAACACCATTGTACTCATTTAGGTCATCAAATTCATCAAAAATTTTATTATTTGTTTCCTTATTTATTATCTTTCTCCTTTACTAAACAGTAAGCTGCTTGAGGACAGGTATTATATTTGTCTTGTTTGCCACAGTGTATCCTAGCACATATGTGTATGGCACATAATAAGCACTTAATAAATAAGTGCTAATCAATGGATTAATGGGTGAATGCTTATATGCTAGACTTTCTCTTTGCCACTAATCCATAATAGACTGGGAATTTCCCAAATGCACGTTCACGTCTTTTCACATTTATAAACCTTACTCTAGCATGAAACCTGATCCATAGGAAATTTCAATAAAAACTTAATTTTCAGCTAAAGTTAACACAAATTATCAAACATTTTAATAAAATAACAGCTTGGCATTCCTTCATTCTACATCACCTAAAGGAATTCTGCCATTATGTATAAGACCAAAATGATTCCTTGGCTTTCAAAAACTTGTTTATCATTCATTCATTCATTCATTCATTCATTCATTCATCAAATATTCATTGAGCCTACTATGTGCCAGGCACTGTTTTAAGCTCTGGGGATGTAACAGTAAATAAAATAGAAAAAAAGTCTTTCCTCATAAAGATTCTGCTTTAATTAATAAGGCTCAAGTCCTGGTAAATAGTATTTTATAATGTGGCCAGGTGATTCTATTGTATAGCTAGGGTTGAGAACAGTTGCTTTAGAATCACACACTCCTTATTGTCTTTTTTAAAAATCATGTACCTCTAGTGACAACTTTTTAAAAATCAGAATATAAGTGAGTTAACTTTCAATTTGTCACTATTTTTTTAACTTATAAGATTTTAGGATACAATGAATATGCAATTTAAAATGCTATGTTATAATAATTTACTCTGCTTAGCTGGACCCAGAACCCATTCCAAAGGAGTGGAACAATTTGAATTCTCTCCCACTTATAATGTAAATTTCTGAAGGCAAAAAGAATTTTAACAAGGAACAGAAAATATCTGTAGTTTCCCTTTCCCAAGTAAGCACTATTTTGTAAGACTGGAAAATTTCTTGTTCCTTTTTCTTTTTTTGTATTCACATTGCTTTCTATATTTAGTATTTATGTTTGATCACATGGACAACTATATACAGCAATGATTTTTCATGGAGAGTAATTAAATGCAGTGGGTTCATATTCTCTAATGGTCTTCAGGAATTTAAATTTTATAAGTGAATATATAGTCTGCAGATGCTTTCTGATACCATTTTTAAAATTCAGATAAAATATACATACATGGTGGTGAGTTTCAATAGATGAATACAGCCATGTAAGCATCAATTTAAACAAGATATAGAACATTTTTTAATCATTCCAGGAGGTTACACTATGTCCCTTCCAATCAATCTCTGCTCCCCATATGCAATCAATATTCTGATTGTGTCAGTATAGGGATATTTTGTTTATTGTTGAACTTCTTATAAAAGGAAGGATACAGTGTGCTCCTTTGCATCTGGCTTCTTTCAAACAACATGATGTCTTTCATATTTATTCATGTTGTTGTATAATAGTACATTCTTTTTCTATTGCTGGGTAGTATTCCATTGTATAAACAGATCATAATTAATTATCTAATAACCCGCTAATGAACATTTGAGTTGTTTCTGTTAACATTTGTTTGCAATATTTATGTAGACATATTTTTTTATTTGTTTTTTAATAAATATCTAAGAGTGGAAAAGTTGGGATTTCCTAGGATAGGTATATATTTTACTTTATAAGAAAGTGACAAAACTTGTTTCCAAAGTGGCTTTATCTTTTTTACTCTTCCTAGCCGTGTATGAAAGTTCTGGTTGCTCTACATCCTTGCCAACACTTGGTGTTGCTACCTTTTAAATTGTAGCTATTCTAAGGGTGTGAAATGGTATTTCATGGTGTTTGTAATTTGCACTTCCCTGATGACTAATAAAGTCATAGAATTGTTATTTGGTTCTTTTATATAATTTTGTTTCTCTGCTGAGATTTGCCCATCTGTTCACTCATTTTGATAATCCTTTTCTTTAAGTCATGAACATCTTTATGATTATTTCTTTTAAAGTCCTTGCCTGCTAATTTTAACATCCAGGCCAATTGGAGACCTTTTTCTATTGATTCTTTTTTCTTTTGAATAGGGGTTTTACTCTTTTATTTCTTGGCATGTCTAGTACTTTTTGAGTGCACACTGTGAATGATGCATTATAGAGACTTAGGATTTTTAAATATCTCTCTGAGAAGTGTTAATTTTTATGTGCCCAGTCAGTGAAGTTACTAGCTGATCACCTTGAACTTGTCAAGGCTTGCATTTTATACTTTGTTAGGGAAGGTTTTACCCATAATCTTAGTGTTTAGCTTTGCTCTTAGTCTTAGGATATATAATTCAATGATAGAAAGTAGACTATTATTAGAATCAAAAATTATGATTGTTCTGGTATTTCAATGGAAAGCTCGAGGCATTTACTAAGCCCCTTCAACTGGACTAAAGTTAAACTTCAAAATCCATTTTCTATGATGTAGTCAACAGCTAGATTACTTGCCCAGCTTTTAAAACCTTACTTCCATTGCCGTTCCCTGTCTTCCTTGGACTCTGCCCTAGACATGTGCAGTTTGGGGTTATCCAAAAGTTTAAAACTAGTCTATATCAAGATTTTAAGTCTTGCCTCTCTATGGCACCCTCCTTTGTGGATTTATTTACAAAGTTTCCAATTATCAGCATCCTCAAATTCTGTCCTCTGATACTTAAGCCAATAAAAATGTGGCTTTCTGTTTGTGTTCTAATTGCTCTATGGCCTTAGGGGAAAATATATATAAATATGGATCTTATTGAGTGCCGTTTCTCCTTTCAAGAGTTGAATTCCTTTTCAGTTCCTACCTGCTTTTGATCATTTTATAATGCTTTCAAATAGTTGTGTATGTGTTTGTATTTTTTTCTTGTAATTTGTAATTAATGTTTACAAGAGTTTGTAATTAATGTCTACAAGAGGTTTAGTCTGATACTAGCTACTCTGCTATTCCTGTACTGTTACCATTATTATAAGGAGAAATTTCCCTATATGTGAGCCCATCTTGTAATCCTTCTTTATAACGTAGCAAGAATTATGAAAGGCATAGTCCCAAGAAGGGGGACTGAGCTTACTTAAAGAAGGGAGCAGACCCATTCACATTCTCCTTTCAACATAAATATGCTAAATATATTGTGTTACAATCTTTCTGCATTGTTTTTCTTGGGGGCAAAGCATAAAATTCTTATAATATGATAATACTGAGATGGTCTTGTGAATTAAAAATTAACTTTCTGTGATTATCACAATTAGTAAACATTTTATAACAATTATCATGAAATGCTTGACCTGAAGTAGAAAAGCCAATATTTTGGGGGTATTCCAAAAGATACATGTTATGAATGGAATCGTGTTCTTCCCTTCCCCAAATTCATTTTGTGCTGCCCAATCCCAACGTATTTGGAGAAGAGCCCTTAAAAAAAATCATTAAGGTTAAATAAGGTCACAAGGGTAGAACCCTAATCTCATAGGACTGATGTCCTTATAAGAAGACAAAGAGCAGCACTTTGGGAGGCCGAGGCGGGCGGATCACGAGGTCAGGAGATCGAGACCATCCTGGCTAACACGGTGAAACCCCGTCTCTACTAAAAATACAAAAAATTAGCCGGGCGTGGTAGCGGGCGCCTGTAGTCCCAGCTACTCGGGAGGCTGAGGCAGGAGAATGGCGTGAACCCGGGAGGCGGAGCTTGCAGTGAGCCGAGATCGTGCCACTGCACTCCAGCCTGGGCGACAGAGCGAGACTCCGTCTCAAAAAAAAAAAAAAAAAAAAGAAGACAAAGAGATGCAAGAGCTTTTTCTCTATATATACACATGCACAGTGGAAAGACCATGTTGAGGACATTTTGAGAAGGCAGCCATCTGCAAGCCAAGAAGACAGCCCTCACCAGAAACTGAATTTACTGGCATCCTGATCACAGACTTCTGAGAGAAAATAAATTTTATTGTTTAAACCACCAGTTTGTAGTATTTTCTTATGGCAGCCTGAGCAGACTAATATACCAAGTTTTAAATCTTCTTGATTATTCATTATTAATGACGTTAATTTTTAGGATTTATAACTAATGGCTATTTAAGATTCTTTAACCAGATAATACTATTTTTTTCGTAAGTTTTTCCATCTTCTCCCTTTCCTCTTTGTTTTAAAATCATCTGTATTCACAAATAAGAAGACAGGTAGCCTTAGAATCACATCTAAGAGAACTGATTCTTAAGATTTCTTGAATAACTCTAAAATTTTCTAGAAAAAATAGAAAACCTGACAATGAACTCTCTCAATCATTGCATTTCAATATCTAACATCAAACTTACTTTGGCTTCAGAAAACGTCAAATGTGCCACTCAAGATTATTTTCAGAATAATAATCACTGGAATCCAAACATTACATAAACTAAGGCATCTTTCGTCTTAATTCCTTGTGTTTACTCTTGTCAAGGAGGGTCACTTTTACTTTACAGTTCAGTTCCTATGACTGGATGCCAGTGTTGGTAAGTAAAATAAATACGTCATCACAAGAGTCTATAACCCAATTTTATGATTATATAATGTTATAATACTAATATATGATGTCTTACTTACTCAGAGTTCTACTATATGTTGTAGCATAATACAAATCTGTCAGTTTTTATTCTTTTATAGCCATATGAAGGAAATAGTTGAAAATCCAAGGGGGAGAAGGTGTATTTAAATGTATTGGGGAACAGCAATTTCAAAGAATATCTACTTAATTTCATCTTCCAAATCCTGAATATAGTAAGGCGTTAGGCTTATCACAGTGCCTGTCATATCATGTGTTGTGGTTTTACAATTAAAGAGACTATGACTTCATTATCTGTCGACCTGCTACCAGAGTAGAAAATCTCATGATTACATCTTTATGGGCTTTTTGGAAATGTATGTTTATTCCAAACCTGAGTTCGGGCAGGCAACAGGAAAGGGGAGTGTTGTGGGCTAACAAATTGCTGAATAACATTACCTGATTATGTTACTATGCTATGTTATAGGATAGACATTGAAGTAGCTGCTTTAATTTCCTATAATTAGAACTTAGATGATGTATTTTGGATCTTTGTTGTATGGATAAGGAAATTATGGTTCATAGAAGGTGACCACAGAGATAATTACTCAAAGAATAAAAAAATAAATAAAAATTGACAATGTCTTTCATTCCCCTGTGTCTGAATTCAGTTATAAACATGCCTCTTTGGTAGTCACTTCTCCAAGTGTATCATGTCCCATGCATTTAGAAACACAGATCTTTCTACTTGCAAATCTGGTACTTGAAAAAAAAAAAAAACAAAGAACCACACCATAAGAATAAGAAATGAGAACTACAGAGTGAGAAATGAGAGTGCATTGACAGTGCAGAGTAGGTGGTAAACTACCTTGAGTTTTTAAAAGAAGGGCACTAAAAAGCTCGGTACAAAACATGTTGTCAAAGGAAATGAGAAAATGCCAAGCTAAATTTAAAAAAAGTTAATTGGTAATATTCAACAATATTTAGGCATTTCTAAGACATTATATATTTTAGTTAATTTTGAAAAAAACTTTTAACCCACACCTTTCATGATTGTAACAGATGTTAGATTTTGTCCATAATTTGGTAGATATAAAATCCTTACTTTTTCTGGGTAGCATATCCCATATTATTACCATACTATTTCATGCTATGGAGTCATTTATTCATTTGAATGCAGCACCATTCAGATTCTTTGCCAATTACTAGAAAGCATTAAATGTATATAACTGAAAAATTATCTTGGCTTCAGAGTGAAAGAGCGTACTTTATAATTTCACCTATTTATGAACCTATTTGCCCATCATTTGTTAATTTAACATTGAGGAAAGGACAGGGAAAGAAGTTGACAGTTTTAGGGTTAGAAGCAAAATGAGGAATGAAATGTGAAACACAAAGAATGAAACTTGAAAAGGATGCTTCAGGGGAGCTCAATCAGAGAAAGATTTTAAGGGTTTCTAATTTTATATGATGACTACAAAGAAATAAAAAAGGAATAACACCATCAATTTCACACCTCCCTTAATCTGGGAATATGAAGGACAAAGCATAAAACAGGTATTATTTTTGTTGTTGTTAAAGGTGACAAGGAATTAATGTTGTTCTTTAGGGTATCTGTCTAGATCTAAACAATGGAGTTTGAAATTTCCATATGGATTTTATTTCAATTTCACCATACTCTTAATTGCTGACATGTTGGCTTTTCAAGACTGTTCATGAAAAAAACCTTAGTTAATCAGTTAATTGAAGAAGAAAGTGGTGTGATATCCTTGGGGGAAATGGGCTAGAGTCAGGAAATTTGGGTTCTGGTTTCCCTTTGTCACCGACATGCTAAATAACCCTGAGCAACCTGTTAAACCTCTCTGAGAAACACAATTTTCCTTTAAAATAACTGTACTGAACCAGACTGTCCCTGAGATCTTTCGCATATTTTGTGTTTCTAGTAATTAGAACTGTTTTCACAGGTATCAGGTGATCTGAGGGCACAGTGTAAAATTCATGGCAAGATGAGCAGTTTCATTTCCAGGTGAGAAGAATAAAATAGTCTCACGTAATTTTTCCCAATCAAGGAGTTAATTTGTAATATAGATGATGATGTCTTGTTTGAGGATTAAATAATGTATATTTAATATTCTTAGTCAGAATTTTGTTAAGGGACATAGGGAAGGATATTATGAGACTGAGGAGCTCTAAATATAACTTAAATTGATAATGCCAAAGTGGTATACCAACATAAACTACCTGGGAAGCACACAGAAGATTTAGATTTGCAAAGGCAAGATATTCAAACTTATTTTAACTACTCTTGGAACTATATTATATTTAAAGAATGAACATCTTTTAAAACAGACCTAAATGGATGAAATTCTAAAAGTTAATTAATAAATGATTAGATGATTTAAATTTTTGCATAGGAATTAAAAAGTGGCACATGCCCAAGGAATAAAACTGGTGAGAAAATAAACTTTGTCCAAAAAATGCAACTGTTATTTCAGGTAATGTGGGTATCCTGGCAGTGCTAAATGAAGATAATTGGAATAAAAACAGAAATTTATGTTATGAAGGACTATATTTTGACTGTGAATTCAGGATTTTTTTGCAGTCAACAGATTTTATCATGGCTTTTGGCAGAATGATGAAAGGCCCTAAACAAGTCCTTGGGCGTTGCTCATTGAGAAACCAGCAGAATACTTTCATATTTGCAGAGAAAAGTTGCCAACATGCCAGGCAAAAATGCTCACTGGGGTGGAGAATTGGAAATATGATAGTGATCTCAAATGACACAGGAAAGTTGGGGGGAATAGACAATTCTATAAGCTTAATAAAAAATATAAAGATGCCATAATCAAATCTTAAATTTCTAATGCCAGGTCTATATTTCTGGAGATAAGGTATGATAACCGAGCGGGAGTATACCATGCTGAGATTGCTTCTAAGCTCTCTTCTTGTAGCTACTACCCTTAATACTTGTATTATAAATTTGTTGCACGCTCATCTAAAATAATTTGGTCATTCACAATAACTCATCTTTTTGGGGTTGATATGTGAAGTGACTTCCCATAATTCAAATTTAGGTGAGGGCTGTAGGTTTCCTCCTCCATAACTTCACTATGAGATGATATGTTACAATGAAAACGAGTCTCAGACCAAATTTGCTGCACATACGAAGATTTCATAGCAATGTTTATTGAAAAAAAGTCATAAAACCTGTTCTGCAAACTGTATCATTTTAGTCACTCTAACAGAAACTTGCATACAAACATCAATAGAGACAAATGTATGTTTCAGTATCAAATACAGCTAAGCTTTTAACAGAGTCAGGTGACAAAAATCCTCCATCAGGCAGCCAAATAATTTACTTATAAGCTGGGGCTTTATTCAGAAGTGTTAGGACATTAGTTGCCTAGATACTAAGCTATTCATTCAAAGGTGGGAAAATCTGTACATTATTTCTAACCAATGCATGCATCTGAGCATCATTCATTTCACCAGTGAAAATCACTTTTAACATCTAAAGCCTTTGGTGTTGACCAGAGATAAAATATCGTACTTGAAAGCCTGGTGTAGCAGCCTCTGGATTGCAGGTTTGGGTCAATGCTAACTAACTGCCCCTGAAGTAGATCTTCCTGATTAGTATACTTCAAATGATAATTACCTAGGGCAAGATTAAACTGAAACTAATCTATCATATTGTCTATACTGCAGTATTTTAGAGTGAATTATAGACAATGTAAAGCAATTTATTTGAAATGTTAAAATAGCATTAATTTTTGTTTCATTTTTAATTTAGATAAATAAAATAATGAAAGTAAATACTGCCCTAAAATTTTGTCACCTAGGTAATGCATTGATATGTTAAATAAATAATTGAATGTGATAAGGAAAATCTATGTGGTATAGAAAGATACAAACTGCAAGGGGAAAGCTTTCGTTTTCTATCTCCTTCCAAATACCTTCACTTACAACCCCGGTACTTTTTGTCTAAGTAATCACAGGCACTTTTTTCCTTTCTTTCTTCCAGAAAAAGAAAAGATTCCTCTCTCTTTCTCTCTCACAAAATATTATATATAATATTTATATGTAATATAAATACACTCATACATATAGTTCCTCATCTGAAAATTCACTTAAGAATTTTATATTTTAGAATTATATCCTTATTAGCATATATAAATCCCCCTCATTCTTTATAAATGACTCCATATTCCATTATATGATTGTAGCTTAATATTTTAAACCAATCTTCCACAGAGATTCTAGCACATATATCTTGTTGCACTTTTGCAAACATTCCACTGGGTAAATGCCTAGCAGAGAAATTTCTGGCCAAAAAGTATGTGGTTTTAAAATTTGGATCGATATTGCCAAATACCCTCCTGAAAGCTTAAATCAATTTGTACCTCTACAACCAGTATGTAAGAGTGTCCTCGTCTCAAATCTTTACCAGCATTGGATATCGTTAGACTTCTACATTTTTGTCAATCTTATTTGTAAAATTTTTTAGATTTGTATTTCTTAAATTGTTAACTTGAGATTGAAAATTTTACTTGCTAATTGGCAATTTGTATTTCTTGTCTATTGAAACACTCAAGCATATCTTTACCATTGTCCACTCTGATTTTTTTCATCTTTTCCTTACTGATTCCTATGTATGATTTCTTTGTAAATTAATGAAATTAATCTTTTTTTGCATGTTAAAAATATCTTTTTCTGCTGGGCGCGGTGGCTCACGCCTGTAATCCCAGCACTTTGGGAGGCCGAGACGGGCAGATCACAAGGTCAGGAGATCGAGACCATCCTGGCTAACACGGTGAAACCCCGTCTCTACTAAAAAAAATACAAAAAAATTAGCCAGGGGTGGTGGCAGGTGCCTGTAGTCCCAGCTACGTGGGAGGCTGAGGCAGGAGAATGGCGTAAACCTGGGAGGTGGAGCTTGCAGTGAGCCGAGATTGCGCCACTGCACTCCAGCCTGGGTGACACAGCAAGACTCCGTCTCAAAAAAAAAAAAAATTTCTTTTCTTGTGTGTTGTTTGACTCTGTTTATGGTTATAATTTTAGTTTTCATTAAACAGAAGTTTTTCCACATTGATTTGAAACACAACGTTGACATAAAGGTAATATCTATATGTATTTTGGTCTATTTCATGACTTTAATAATCTGTTCTTCTCAAGTACCAAACTGTTTAATTACTGAAGCTACATGGCATCTTAAGAGCTAGTCGGGCTAGTCACTTTCACTCTTCAATTTTAGAATTTTCTTAATATCCTTACATGTTTATTTTTCTAGATTATTCTTATATAATTTTGTCTAGTTGAAAGAGAAATCCTTTTGGTATTTTAATTGTTACTGCATTTAAATTATTGAATAATTTAGGGGAGAAATGACATCTTTACACTTTTATCTTCATAGTGTAGAAGTACATAGTGTGTATTATGATTTATTTAAGTCTTTTAAAAAAAATTCCTTAGTATAGTTTGCAAGTTTTAGACATATGGATTATGTATATTTCCTATAAGTTTATAGGTTACGGGTATTTTATATTTTAATTTTTCTTACAAATGGGATTATTTCTCCCATTAGATTTTCTATATGGCTACTGATTAAATATTGGAAAGCTATTTATATTTAATGTTAATTACGTAACCTACGACTTTTTAAATATTCTTATTATTTCTAATAGTTTTCAGTTAACATTAAACACACACACACAGACACACACACACTATTTTTAGCAGAAATAAAGAACCAGAAAGGTTATTTAAAAGGCTTTGACTAAAAGAAGTACTCTGAATTGTCCTAATTGGAAATGGTCAGTAGAGACATGAACATATGTGTTATGTACTGAATCTCCACAAAATTCAGTGCCAAAAGGGTAAAGTATTTTGCAAAAATTTATTTCCACCTCAAGCAGAATGGACATCCATACTAAATACATATATGTTATGTAGTCAATGACCGTATTAAATAAAACAGAAAAAAAAAAACGGTGGTTATTTAAAGCATTGTTACTGTGGTTGAACTCTTTGTCTGAGAGATCCAGGATTTATACCTGTGATTGAAACACTGCAATTTTGTGAACAGTTTGGGGAAAAGGTAATAGGTTAACCAGTTCTTCAGACTTTCTGACATTTCAAGCTGTAAGTCTGACAACATAATCTAATTGGGCTATTAGCCTTATTCTAGGTTTTCGATTGAGCTGTTTTTTGACCTCTTTGCTTCTATCATGAGCAAAGACTGGGAAGAAAACAAAAAGTGAGCAGAAACTGCAAGTACTAGTTGATAGCTGAAAAGAGGGCTGAGACAGCTCCTTCAATCTCCACCAAATAGGTCTATAATGAGAACAGCAATTTTCAGAAGTGAAGGGACTGAGCCCAAGGTTGCTGTGTTAGGAGTGATGCACAGGGAGCCTGGGGTACAAGTGGGGTCTAGGAAGTGAGCCCAAGTCCCTGACAGCCAGAAATAACCTTAGTAAGGATGATTTCCCACCACAATACAGAAATACTGTAATTTGAAATAAATTTTTTATTGAAAATTCTCTCATAGGATTTCTGAGTTGTGTTGCTTATTTCCTTCCCAAATGATTGTTCCCTATTTTAGACTTGACCTAACGTAAGATATAAAATAGTTTCAGATTGGTTTCAGCTAACAGCTCATTCCAAATGATGGGTTTTTAAATGTAATTACCTTTTTCCATTTCTCCCCACTCCTAAACTCATCCTATATATTTGTGAGTAACTTAAAGGAATGTTATTTAATATTTGTGACTCTGCAAAATAATTTTACAAATAAATGATTTCTCTAGGTCTAGATCAATAGGTTCTTTACACATAAAATGTTTACAGACATGAATTAAACAAAATAAATTTGTTAAGAATAGCACACCAAGGCTAAAAATAAAACAAAATGAAATATTAGTGTACATGTGCAAGTACACTATACATATACAAAATAAACTCTAGTTATTTATAAAATTTGGAAGAAATAGACTGCTTATCCTGTAACATGGAGAAAGAAAATACACTTTGCATGATATTCTTATCTAAGACTTACGATACAGAGGATTTATTTATTTATTTATTTATTTTTTGACAGGGCCTTGCTCTGTTGCCTTGGCTGGAGTGCAGTGGCATGATCATGGCTCACTGCAGCCTCAAACTCAGGGGAACATATTTTTAAATAAGTTGTTTATTTTAGAAGTTTTCTAATATTCAGGAATTAGGTAAATTAATTTAGAAAGTTATTTGGAGAGTTGGGATTATAGATAGAGTTTTTTAAAATATAAATTCCATACCATTATTATGATTAGAATGTAAACTCTGGAAAGACATTTTTGGTTTTACTGTTTTGGCCACAGAATATAGAGTAGTTCCTAGAACAATTCTTGATGCATAACAGGCATTTGCATATAAATACATCAGTAATATTTGAGAATACATACATAAGTATGACTTTATCTGTGTGCACTTAACCTGATTCAAAGCAAAGTAGCATTTAATGTGTAGATTTTACATAAAATTAAACTCTCAGATCTTATTGTCAATTTTGTTCTTTACAGCAAATGAATTTTAACTACTTTAATCATTCTTTTATTTATAAATTAAAAGCTTTAGTATATTGTTATTAATTCAATGTAGTCATTATAATTTTCTCATTGGCTAAATATTCACAGAACACTTTCAGAATTAAAAAAAAAGACAAAGATGATGGTAATGGCTAACATGTACATGCTCCATTTATTCTATGTTGTGTATTTTTCTAAGCATTTACATGTGTTAATTCTAATCTTCTGTTATGGGATGCAACATGTCCATTAAAAAATATAGACACTCCACAATTTTCCTTGCAGCTATAAATGCCATTGTTCCTGTCCTGGCCAATGACATGTAATCAGAAGTCATTAGACTAAGAATCCAGAAAAGGCACAGACTCAGCTAGTGGACAGTGTCTGTAAGTACAGCAGCCCTCATAAGGACCTAAGGAAGGAACCCCATACTAAGGGTGATGGGGTCTAAAGATAAGCAATCTGGTACTGTCTACATGAGAAAAAATAACTCCTGTATAAACCACAGCAATCATGTTTTTGTTACATGCAAAAGAACTCTAAATTCATAACTGGTTTAGCTGATAATAGGAACATTTTCATCCATCCTTTCATTTCATAAATATGTATTGAACACTTGCTATGAGCCAGGTACTGTTCTAGGTAGTTGGGATATATCACCACACAAAACAGATAAATATCTGCTCTCAAGAAGCTTATATTGTAGAGATGGTGGGTCAACAATAAAGAAACTAATTATTTAGTTTATTAGAAGATGATGTGTTATGAGAAAGAGATGACAGAGCAGGATAAGGGAGATCAATAGTGCCAGAGAGAGGATAAAGTTGCCATTTTAAATCAGGCGGTCATGTAGCCCCATTGAAGAGATGATATTGAATACAGACTTGAAAGAGGTAAAGGATAATTGCAGATGAATGACACAACCAATGTGTATGTCTTAAGTGGCCAAGTGGCTGATATATTTGAAGAAGAACAAGGAGGCCTATGTGTTTAGGTGGAGTGAGACAGGGAAAGAGACCAGAGAGGTAATGCAGGGGATGGGATGGAGGAGTAGACCATGCAGAGCCTTGTAGGCCACTGTAAGGATCTTTGCTTTTACTCCGAAATAGGGAGCCACTATAGAGTTTTGAGCAGAAGAGAACAAATCAATGTTTGAAAATGATCTCTTTTGTTTCTGTGTTGACTACAGGGAAGAAAGGATAAAAACAAAGCAGTTTTTGGGAGGTAATTATATTAATTCAGGGTGTAGTAATTCATGAGGGTTGATACAGTTTTGCTCTGTGTCCCCACACAAATCTCACCATCAATTGTAATCCCCATAATCCCCATGTGTCAAGGGCAATTGAATCATGGTGGCGGTTCCCCTCATGCTTTTCTCATGATAATGAGTGAGTCTCGCAAGATCTGATGGTTTTATAAGCATCTGGCATTTCTCCTGCTTGCACTTCTCCTTCCTGCCTCCTTGTGAAGAAAGAGCCTTGCTCCCCCTTTGCCTTCTGCCATGATCGTAAATTTCCTGAGGGTTCCCCAGCCATGCTGAACTGTGAGTCAATGAAACCTGTTTCCTTTTTAAGTTACCCAGTCTTGGGTATGTCTTTATTAGCAGCTTGAGAACGGACTAATACAAGGATCTAGACCAGTGGTAGCACTCGGGGTAGGGAGGGAGGAGTATTCAGATTATGGATATATTTTGATGGCAGAGCCATCAGGATTTCCTAAGAGGTTTGAATGTGGGCTGTGAGAGAAAGAAGATCAAGTATGGCTTCTGGGGAAATGATGTAGGGCGTTTTTAAAAGAACTTATCTTTATAGCGCTTACAGCCAATATATTATAAAAGCTTGCTACCTTATTTGAAGCCCCAGAAAATAATGTCTCTCTGAGTCATTAAAAAATTCTAAAGATTAGAAAGTCAAAGTTAAACAACAACAACAAAAATTTCAGAAGACTTCTCAATTAATGATGACTGTGTATCTACACTTCAGGCTCCAAACAAGCTGCTTAGTTTGGACAATGTCAAGTTTTTGCAAAAATCTTCCACTTCAACAAGAGTAGATTTGACTGTCTGTGAATAATGGTTATAGGAGTTGCCTAAGGACCTTATTTTTGTCGAGTTGTAGTTTTCACAAAGGCTTATAATATTAGACATGTACAGATAAAATTAGTGTAACCCACTGAGATTTAGAGGTAGTGTACCGAAGGCTAGCACAAGATTATCTCAGAACTAGAAAAATAAGGTTAAATTTTAAGAGTTAAATTACTAAAACCTTCATGTAATTTATGAAATTATCAAATCTATGTATATTTTATTCATCAAATTTGGAAGAATAAGGCCTAGAAATATGTTTGAAATATGATTAAATGTGAAAGGAACTAGAATATAATTAATGATGTTAACATATATATGAAGACAGACTGGTTTACAAAAGAGGGAAAGGCTACAGGAGTTTGGAGAAGGGGAACATGGGTAAGAATTTTCAAGTGTTTACTTTCACATTCTGCTTACTCTGACCAGAATACATTCAAAGTCTTACAACTGCTTGCACTGGAGAACAGCTTCTGACTAGCTTGAGGTGTAAGAACTAGTTTATCTAAAATATTCCTAGCCCACTCACATGTTTCAACTAAAGAAAGACTTTACTTAGTGCCCTTGAGGAAGAAGAAGATACATGTCTTTTTGGATATTGTAGACTGTGGTGGTTAATTTTATGTGTCAACTTGACTGGGCTAAGGGATGCCCAGATAGCTGGTAAATATTATTTCTGGGCATGTCAAATGAGGGTCTTTATGGACCCTTAACATTTGAATTGGTAGACTGAGTAAAGAAGATTTCCTTCCCCAATGTGGGTGAGCCTCATTCAATTCACTGAGGGACTGAATAGAACAAAAAGGCAGAGGAAGAATAAATTTGCTCCCTCTTCTTGAGCTGGAGCATCTATATTCTCCAGGCTTTGGAAACTGATGGTCTTGTTTATCAGGGCTTTGGACTTACAGTGAAATATACCACTGACTTACCTGGTTCTCCATCCTGCAGATGGCAGACTGTGGGACTTGTCGCCCTCCATAATCGAGATAACAAATTCCTATAATAATAGGATATATTTGTATCATATAAATGTTTATATATTTATAAGATAGTGTGTGTGTGTGTGTGTGTGTGTGTGTATATATATATATATATATATATATATATATATGTTCTGTTTCTCTGAAGAACTCTGACTAATACAAAAGATATTAAAGGTTTCATAGGCTTCTTGTTTCCCAACTCTGGTCCTAAAATAGGATTAAGCTGCATTTGTTCTTTCTAACGACAGCTTGATCTGATAATAGATAAGATGTTAATGACCCTATTGAACCATTCTCTGATTTTCTGAATCGTGCTTTTCTTGGTTTCTTCCTGATTCCTTAGAGGATATGTTGTGAAATCAATTCATAGCTATTTGTAGTTTGGCCAAACCAGAAGTATGAATGCTTTGAAAACAAATTCATAATTATTTGATGAATTTTCTTCCCAAGATTTTTTTCACCTCACCCTTGAAATGGTGAAAGCTTCTTTATAAAGGAGCAATACTGTGTATTTACAACCTTTCCTCCTGTCTCGGCTGAAGTATTTTGCTTCCTGTCTAGGTCTTACTGCTCTGCCTATGTTCCTAATCTTAACACTGATTTATCTTTTCGTTAAATGTTCATGTGGCATCTATTTTGTACCAGCAACTTTGCCAGACTTTGAAAATATAAAGGTAAAAGATGACATTATGCTTGCACTTAAGAATCTGACAAACTGAAAGGAGATATAAATGTATGTGAGATAAACTTCAAGAAAAGATACTAATGTGTAGAAAGTAGTATGAATGAAGACCTAAAGGAACACAGATAGTGCAATGAATGATTCAAATCTGGTTGTTAATGATAGCTCTATATTGGACTTTGAGTTGATCTTGAAAAATGATTAAGAATCTGTAAAATGCAAAGGAAAACCCAGGGCATTTCAGGTAGCTAGATATAATAATGGGCAGGGAAGGGTTAACAGAAAATGAGACTGGAGTGGTAATATTTTTCTATTGTAAGAAAATTAGAATTTTTTCCTAATTAAAAGAAATTATAGACATAAAATATTTCAATGAAAAATACAGAAGAATATTTCAACTTTATTTACTATTTTTAGAATCTGTAGTTTTACTCTTAGGTGGTTTCTGAAATAATGGGAATTTAAAAAAATAACTGAGCTACTAAAAACACAGAGAGTTTATTTGTAATCACTGAAAGTATCTTGTCAGTAATGTGAGATCAGAAATATTTATCTGTTTTCAAATATGTAGCATTGTTTTATCAAAAGTTTAAATTAATGATATTACTAAGAAATGACATTTCTGAATATCATAATTTATTCTCTGGGAGCACTGAATTAGGAGAATGCAGTAATAGATTAAATCTGTTCTTTTGTGCAACTATGAGGATACATTAGTTGGTATAGAGAAAGAAACAATTTTACGTATCTGTTTAAATGTATTTTTTAATCTGTTTTAAAATGAAAGGACATGTCTTCTTAAATAACAAGAAGTAGACCTATAAGTGAGCTAAAGCCTCCTATGGCTTTAAAGGGAAAATGCAATGTGAGCCCAAGTGTGCTGTGGGAATTTGGATTTAAATAAGTTTTGGTTACAAAAAGGGAGAAGAATAGGTATGAAAAAGAAATATGGTCAGAAGAGGAAATTTTTCTGCTGATTTGAAAAACTCTGTCACACAGAAGTTATTCTGGGAAATGCAGGACCTATACAACGATGGTCTCTTTCTGTCAAATTCCATAAGAAAGGAAAAGTTAGAACTCTGAAGAAATGAGTTAACCCTCTGGGAAATTTCTTTACTAGCTAAGTTAAAGGTAAGCTGAGATCATAGATAAGTATTAAAATGAGAAAGGGTACAGTAACATTTTTAACTCCAACAGTTGAGGAACTCTGAAAAAAACTTGAGAGAAAAAACCCTCTGTTTAAATCTGTAAGGAACAGAAGAATTAAGATTCATAATTGTTACAGGTTAATGAAGATGCTCTCTTATTTTACCCAAATATTTGTGGTCTTTTAAACTTTGCTCAAAGTTACCTAATCTTTAAAATATATCATTTTCATATTATCATTTGCTACAAATTTTATAATATAAAAGTACATGATTATTTATTTAGGACAGTTTATAACATTCTAAAATATTTTTAAATTTTATTTTGTATAGTTGAATTCTGGCGAGGTTGCATATTTTTTCAATCAGCTTTTTTGTGACCTGTTGATTCATTCAAGTTATTTCTCAACTGTCTATTGTGGTTTTTATGTCTTTTTGTTTTGTTTTGTTTTGTTTTTACTGATTTGATAAACAGATTAGTAGGAATGGGGAAACTTTGTTATTATTCCTGCTGAAATATCCTAATATGAATACATGTTTTAGAAGACGGTGTGGTGATTCCTCAAGGATCTAGAACCAGAAATACCATTTGACCCAGCAATCCCATTACTGGGCACATACCCAAAGGATTATAAATCATTATACTATAAAGACACCTGCACACATATATTTATTGTGGCACTATTCACAGTAGCAAAGACTTGGAACCAACCCAAATGTCCATCAACGATAGACTGGATTTAGAAAATGTGGCACCATGGAATACTATGCAGCCATAAAAAACAATGAGTTCATGTCTTTTGCAGGGACATGGATGAAGCTGGAAACCATCATTTTCAGCAAACTATCACGAGATGAGAAAATGAAACACCGCATGTTCTCACTCATAAGTGGGAGTTGAATGATGAGAACACATGGACCCAGGGAGGGGAATATCACACACTGGGACCTGTCGGGGGGTTGGGGGCTAGGGGAGGGATAACATTAGGAGAAATACCTAATGTAGGTGATAGGTTGATGGGTGCAGCAAACCACCAAGGTACGTGTATACCTGTGTACCAAAACTGCACACTCTGCACACATAACCCAGAACTTAAAGTATAATAAAGAAAATAACATAATTGAGTATAAATAAATGTTATATTTATTTATATATGATATACATGTATATCATATATTATATATGATATACATGTATATCATATATTATATATGATATATATTTATATATTTGAGCATAAGTAAATGCTATAGTTTCATCACATAGTAACTGTGCCCATGGAAAGTCAGACTGCTTGGATGTGCAGGTCACAGTCCAAGCACTCCCATTCATTGGCTGGCAATTACAGAAATTTCAGGTTTATAATTAAGAGGATTAGGAATGATAGTAAAAGGAGTTAAAATACATATTAAATAATACAAAGAAATTAAGGGAAAATAACCCCTAGAGAGCTTTCTTTGCAATTGAAAATCTGTATAGTGGCAACTAAAGTTACAGCATGAAAAGTCAATTAACTTAAAACTATATTAATAATCTCTGTGTGTAATAACCTAAAATAAGAATATTAGATTCCCAGGAAAATTAAACAAGTTTCTAAGATTTCTTATATCATTATGACCGATTTAAATAAGTCAATTCTATTATTATTATTACTTACAATATGTTCTTCGAAAATGAAGCTCATTTTTCAAATCTAATTTCTGAGGATAGTGTCTAGAATCAAAGAGATGAAATGTTGTGCTTCACAACCCATTCTGCAACTTGCTAAAATTTCAGATCAAATTCTAAAAAACCTATGTAAACAGATACTTTCTATTTACATTGCCAGATTTTCCCCTCTGTTTAAAAATAACAGATCGGTCATGCTTGAAGGTTGCATCCCGTTTTAGGTGTCAAAGAAATAAAGTTAGATACCGCGGAGCGTTTTAGAGTCCACGTAAGCATATCTTTCTGTCTCACTGATAAGATCCAGTCCCTCCTCTGCATAGTTCTGGTGTTTCTTTTTATCTGTCACGCTGTTGTGTAGACAGCCTGTGGCAGATGTATTCCATAAATGTTAAGGTACATTGGGTTCAGGATTGCTTCTGACATCAAGTGCATAGATAGAGCTTTATCGTTTCCAAATATGGGCTGATCTCCAGCCAAGAAAATCTATGATTCTAGGACATACTGACATAATGAAAACTCAGTTAAGTTCCCATAGAGTGTAGCTTGTTTGGCTCTGACCTTTGGAGGGCAGAAGGGTTTATGTTAAATATTTGGTTGCATTGGGTTGGTGGACAGTCTATCTTTATTTTGACCTTTCTGTCTCTAGCTCTCTATTTTTCAAGCAGAAGACATAATCCTTCCCCTCAGCTAGAAAAGTGGCCCAGAACATTCCATAGCAATTAGTGGCCCCTATTGATAGTTAGACTTTTGCAACAAAAGCATGTGCCTTCCTTGGTTGTACAATTTCTTATTTGTTCTTTAAAAGTAAATTTCCAGGAATAAATCCAGGAACTACCTGTGACTCTCTCTTCCCTCTCTCCAGTTCCTTTTCATAGCTAGAATGGTCCTTGCAAAGAGTAATAATTACCTGTGCTTCCCACCTCTAGGTCACTTCAAATGTATACTTTATCATGTCTGTTTCATATCTCCTAAAGAATCTAGCCACAGTGAAATTCCACCTCAATCTGTAGTATCAAGAAAGTTCAAACATATACTCTTTCCTAGTTTACTACCTAACAAATTCGTATCACACAAGGAAGAAAAAAATTCTTTATAACACATAAACATAAGTTATTCGACTCTTCTATTTGCTGGGTCTTTTCCTAGTAAATAAAAAGTGGGGACTACTTTCCATATTCTCAGAGGCATCATTTTAATATGTTTTTCCTACAATATACATTTTCCTTAGACCAAGTTGTATATTGCCATGTATTATTTTAAAACCAGGATAAATCGAAGTTTTAGATTGCTTAGCTACTACTTACTGCAGGATGTTAGAGCAAATGAAAAACTGAAAATAATTCAAGAGATGATCCTTATGTTGGTAATTGAGTTGGTACAAACTACTATAATGTTAAAAGAAACAGAAAAAGCTAATTTAAGAAACGACCATTTCCTTTATGCCTTGTGAGCAGCAGGTTAAAGCTCAACGGATTTTTTTTAACATAATGGGGTACTGGGGAACCTTGTTATTAATGCCTCACTGAAAAACATTTATCCAAGGTGTAAACAATCGACAAAACTTGAAATGTCTACCTGCCAAACATCAGGGCTTCAAGGTCTTTAAGCACTTTCTGTGCAGCAGGGGGTTGTATTTATTATTTGAAAGGATGACCTGTTAATGGGATCCAGTGGTATTGGAATCTGACATATAACCTAGAGATAAAATTGGATGAATTGGATAATTTTTTGAAATGAATACCAGGGTAGGAAAAAAGATGTTTTTCAACATTATTAAATAATGCCGATATTTTTCTGTGTATCTAGGGGGATTCTCCTTGCTGTATGTTATTAATGACTCCTGAAAACAGATAATGAAATTGACTTTAAATATTGTTCATGTGGATGCTCACATCTAGAAGGGGTGTGTGGTGTGTCGTGTGTGTGTGTGTGTGTCTGTGTGTGTGTGTGTTTAAACTAGAATCTAATTTCCATCTCCTATGGGCTTTTAAAGGCTGTCTCCATAGCGATGACCAATGAGAGGAGAGGATTTAGCAGGTTTCTTTCTCAGTATATGTGGCACAGTCATCTCTTTTTATGTCCTTCTATTTGTTCCCTATATGCCATTACTGGCTGCCTCTATGGCAACAGCCAATGAGCTCTTGCACATACATCACTGCACCCTCTGTATATGCTCCTCTGTGTGTGCCCTCATGCACTCAGTGGTATCATAAAGCATCTGAGGAGTTGTACGTGCCCAGTGAGTTGGTTTTGTGCCCCTGGAACCTCCTCTTCCTTCCATGCCCTCAGGATAGCATGGATCATAATCACCTTAAAACTTGTACCTGCTTGAATTGTCCCTCCCTGTTCAGTACACATTAATCTTCTCTGACCTAGGTTCCATGGATATAATGTGTTCATTATAGAAGATGAAAGATGAAAGCTTGTTGGCTGCGTAGCTTTGGGAGAACCTCAACTTGTAAAATATGAAGTCCCGGTATGGGATAGATATTTAAGTCTAGCAGAACTTTCTTATAAAAGGATACATTCTAGTCAACATTTTGATATTTCATACTACTTCTTGGTAGGATTTAAAACACTAGATTTGCATTTTATTGTTTTATAAACAATTATCATGTAAGTGATTTTTCTGCATGTGGTATTTATTTATTTTTCCTAGGGATAAAAGCAAACATTAAACATAAAATCCGCCCTCAAGAAGCCTATTTTCGCAAACAATCATCTTCCATACCCACTTTGATGAGATAATCATCTAATGAAAACAAATTGATGGTAATCAAATTGATGGTATACATTAAAAGAGGTAAAAATTAAAGACAAAAGAAGTATTGGTAAGTAGTTCAGAAATGTGTACATTTAAAACAAAAATATGAGATTAAGAGAAAACTAACCTGGTATTTAGATGTTTTTGTTGTTTTGCTTATGTTTAACTTTTAGACTTTCTCATAGAGACATTGTAACTAAAATCCACACTTCTGTAATATTGCGCTTGTAATTTCCATTTCAAACCCTAAAGCAAAATTTAATTTAATTCAATTTGCAGTTTGGAGCACAGTGTAGACAATTTAAACTTAACTATATCTAATTATTTTCACCATTTTGTGTTTTAAAATTAACAACAAATCTTGCAATAGCATATATTCTAATATGTTCCTTTTCAATTGGTGATAAATGGCAGCAGAAATCCTTGTAAGGAAAGGATCCAAAGAAAACATTCTTGTGAGCTATATTGATTGTCACTCATTGTAAGAAAAAGCAAACACTTTGTCTTCACAAATTGGGTCCTCAGGCCTACAGGAGGATTCCTCTTGAATGGGGGTTGTTATTACTCCAAGAGACTGGGGCTAGGGATGGCATAGACAAAGGAAAGCTGAAAAACTCATATTCAAGACTAAATCTTAGAGATCAGAAGTGATTCCTTCAATGACTACTCAGAAGTCAGCTACCACAGATCAGGGAACATAGTCATAACAACATCATAAAACTGCTTAAATTTTGTAATTTCCCCATGCATTTTGGTTTTGCCATCCCCTTAAAATCAAAAGTCCTGTGTGTTTGTCTTTGGGGACAGCAAGAAAGCCTGAAGTTGCAGAGACTATCCCTCTTTGCTGCTATATTAGTGGTGAGAAGATCTTTGAGGATGAGAGAGGGGTGGAAGCACTGTGGACATTACTGAGGTTAATGTCAAACAACAAGGCCAGCACAGAAGCCAATCTGGGTTATAGGCACACTGAGTATATCTTACTAACCACACAGCATCATGACCCCCCGATGCATTCAATTGGGATGATGTTATGTGCCATTTAAATCTTTATCACTAACTCTTTATCACATGCCATGAGACTCAATCACTGAAATCTTAGTCTATTCATTTATGCAGCCAACAGACACATGAAAAAATGCTCATCATCACTGGCCATCAGAGAAATGCAAATCAAAACCACAATGAGATATCATCTCACACCAGTTAGAATGGCGATCATTAAAAAGTCAGGAAACAACAGGTGCTGGAGAGGATGTGGAGAAATAGCAACACTTTTACACTGTTGGTGGGACTGTAAACTAATTCAACCATTGTGGAAGACAGTGTGGCGATTCCTCAGGGATCTAGAACTAGAAATACCATTTGACCCAGCCATCCCATTACTGGGTATATACCCAAAGGAATATAAATCACACTGCTATAAAGACACATGCACACATATGTTTATTGTGGCACTACTCACAATAGCAAAGACTTGGAGCCAATCCAAATGTCCAACAATGATAGACTGGATTAAGAAAATGTGGCACATATACACCATAGAACACTAGCAGTTATAAAAAAGGATGAGTTCATGTCCTTTGTAGGGACGTGGAAGAAGCTGGAAACCATCATTCTCAGCAAACTATTGCAAGGACAAAAAACCAAACACCGCATGTTCTCACTCATAGGTGGGAATAGAACAATGAGAACACTTGGACACAGGAAGGGGAACATCACACACCGGGGCCTGTTGTGGGGTGGGGGGAGGGGGAGGGATAGCATTAGGAGATATACCTAATGTAAATGACGAGTTAATGGGTGCAGCACACCAACATGGCACATGTATACATATGTAACAAACCTGCACGTTGTGCACATGTACCTTAGAACTTCAAGTACAATAAAAAATATATATATATATAAAGAACTGAGTAGATCTTACAATTTTCAAAGACCCACTTGGATATACTCTTCAAATAATTTTTGAAATCTGTCATAACCAAATAAAACGTGCAAATGAAAACCAATAAAAAGAAATCTTGGTCTATTTTATGAAGAGGTTGGTTCACCCTAAACACTGTCTTCAGACATTCCATTTATTGTGAATTATTTTTCAACCCAGGCAGATTATTTTTCTGTTCCCTAGATAATGCTAAAAATAGCAGTATTATTCCATCTTAAGTAGTTGTTAAGTAATGCTTAGCAATTGAGGTTTGGAGAATTTCTGATGCTTTTTAAAAGCAACTTCATACTCCTAACCCATAGCTTTCTTTCAGCAATTGCTCACATACCTCCCAATTTTTCCTATCTGATTTTCTTTTCCTCCAACTGCAATATCAAGTTACCATTAGCACTCATTCTTTGGTTTTCTCTTTGCCAAGTGACATTACATGGTAATTGTCTAGTATCAGTTTTTCTTCCTCCACTGCCGCCTCCTTACCCCATTTTATCTGCAGGCATTAGGTTCTATTTCACTTTTATGTTGAATATTAAACTTTCAGGTAAAATTAGTGATTTTTCTAGTGTTAAAAATTGTTATTTTCTCATTGAATGGTGTTTATCATCTGTCCCCATTTAGTCCTATTTCAGTCTCTAAGTACAGTTGAACCTAAAGTTATGCAAGACCAGAAATCTTTTCAAGTTTGCACTCTCCTTGCTATAGTTATACAAACCAGTGGAAAGTAATTTTCATTAGTTAATACAATGGTAGACTAAAATTCATTTGGTTAACAGGAAATGAAGTTTCTCTGTTCCTCTTTTCCCTCCAGTTTTTACACTGATAATTTAATCTCATTGATTCTTAAGTAAATTTTTTTGTGCATTATTCTTATGAAATCATTATTCTTGTTATTATTATAAAACCTTTATGTATGTTTAGGCTGTGGGAGGTGGTGGGGAAGTCATAGGGGGTGGAGGATAGGGTGGAAGAGGGATGCTTCGACTGGTTTGTTTAGATCATTATATATAAATCAACTGTAGTACTAATACTTGCTTCAATATTTGAAGTAAAAAAGAAGAAAGGAGAAGTAAGAAAAGGTAAAAGCAACAAGGTAAAAGAAAAAAATCTTTTCTTTTTTCTTTCTTACTGGGTGCTTTTTTAGGTAGTCCACAGAATTTTTGGTATCCACCACCTTCTTTTCTGGCCTTTCTTCCTTTATGATGCCTGGAATCCTTTTCCATAGTTCCCAGAGTTGCATGCTCTCTGCTGTACCAAATCCTGTTCTGTTCAGCATTTTGGTCTCTGTTGCCAATCAGAAGGTTTCAAATGGGGCTGGGCATGGTAGCTCACGCCTGTAATCCCAGCACTTTCGGGGGCTGAGGCAGGTGGATCACCTGAGGTCAGGAGTTCAAGACCAGCCTGGCCAACATGATGAAACCCTGCCTCTACTAAAAATACAAAAAATTAGCTGGGTGTGGTGATGGGCGCCTGTAATCTCCTCCAACTCAGGCTACTCAGGAGGCTGAGGCAGGAGAATTGCTTGAACCCAGGAGGTGGAGGTTGCAGTGAGCCAAAATCACGCCACTGCACTCCAGCCTGGGCAACAAGAGTGAAACTCCATCTCAAACAAACAAACAAACAACAACAACAGAAAAAAGAAAAGAAGGTTACAAACAGTCTGACTTTTCTCTCCTCAGAGAAGCTAATTTCAGCTGGCTGTTATAAGGACATGAAATTAAACTAACATTTACTAATATGTGTATAGGGGATAGCACTTTACCCTTTCCAGAAGTATTTGCATTTTAAGAAAGATGTAAACCAAAGGATAATCTTTTTGGTAGAATTTTATGGGGTGTAACGACTGAAGTACAAATAATAATAATAATAATTCAGGAAGTATTTTACTTGGGCCAGAGCCCTGTTTGGGAATCTGGATTCACAGTCTGTTCATTCTGTCCACAACTTCCCTCACTCACTCTTTTGGATGCATGGATTGTCAAAAAATTCCATCTACCTGTACTCCTCCCTTTCTCCACCCTCCCATACCTCAACTGGCAATAGTTCTGAGTCTTGTTCATGTATGTGGAGATGTGGAAATTAAATTATGGATCATTAGTAGATATTGTTCCCCTAACTCAGAAACTGCTTGAGCTCAGAAGCAGCATTATTTGACATCTGATCAGAAGTTTCAATGCTTAATTTTTTAAATCATAAAAGTAATATGTGATAATTATAACTAATTTAAACAAAATACATGACACAAGAGAATAATCCCCCTCTTTCTCCAACTCCAAATCCATTCTGTAAAGGCAACCACTGTTATCAATTTGTGGTATATCTTTTCTGATTTTTATTCATGCTTGGCTAATTTTGGCTCTGCATAAACCTGACATTTAGCTTTTCAAGCATTCTCACGAGCTATCTTGTGAAAAAAGGTAGATCAGATTTACATCTGAGCTATGACATATAATATTTAATAAAGAAAGTAAGTGCCATAAAATGAAAGTTTCCCATAACATTATTTTAAAGAAAATCAGCTATTGAACATTATTACAATTTTATTTCATTATACCCACATCATAATTTATAATTTCCTACAAAATTTTGCTTGCAAACACAGTTCTGCTAAGTTACTAATTTATATGTTCCTGTCTTATTTGTATGCCATTTTAAGCTTGAGGCTTTTCATGTCCTTTTCTCTGCATTCTGTTTATTTGGTAATAGGTTTGAAAGATTAAAAAGTGGAATATTGGTTAGAGCATAAGACTCAAAACAAAAAAAACCCCTCAAATTTAGAAAGTTTTCTATTCATCTCTATATATTTATCAATAATTAAGGAATACTTCAGTTTCCTCATCTATAAATGGGGATTAATTTTTGGATGAGTTGTTATTTGGCATACATTTAAAAATAATCCATTGTATACTAAAATTATTTTTGTCTACCGTGAGTTTTCTTTCCTCCAGATAGAATAATTCAAGTATTTTTCATGCCAGCTTACTGTCATCTCCAGTAATTGTTAATTTGTTTCAAATACAACTAGGTAAAGATAATTTTATTTATTTATTTTTTTTTAGAATTTGCTTGAGAGCGGAGGTCAGTTTTTGTTTTTCACTTACATCACACTTTTGAGATGCTCTCCCTGTAAAAATTTCACTGGAATTATATTGATCGTTCAACTACTCTACACTTCAGATACTATTTTAAAAATCGAGGACTGGAAGAAACCAATGAAAATCAGTAATAGGAGTAGATTTTCAATGGTAATATTAAAAAATAACTGTGTGAGCTCTGGGGATGTTAGTATACTTTTAATGCGGCATGGTTTAAAGGCACAGAATGCTATTATCCAAAAACAAAATGCATAAATGAGTCAATTATCCATGCAAATTTGGCAACAATGTGTTCAACATATTATTTTATTTTAAAAGGTTAAATACACAGAATAATTTTAAAACAGAGAAAGTAAAGCCTGTTCAATTATAGCACTGTATTTTAAACCCAGAGATACATGAACTCTGCAGAAACCTGAAGAACCAGGCTCATGTGGAGACAAAGGGAACACTAAATGGAGAAAAAACACGTTTTTTTTTTTTTTTTTGAGACGGAGTCTCGTTCTGTCGCCCAGGCTAGAGTGCAGTGGCGCAATCTCCGCTCACTGCAACCTCTGCCTCCCGAGTTCATGCCATTCTCCTGCCTCAGCCTCCCAGAAAAAACACTTTCTATCATGAATCATACTTTCTTGTATAAAATCTGTACCGTACTCTAAACTCTGTGTTAGGATCTATGCCAACACACTATTTATTGCTTCTTCCTCCTCTTTCTCTCAGGACATCTTTTTTTGTAGATTGAAGGTGGGAAATGCTATGTGCTTATATCTGAGAAGATGTCTCTCTCTGCTTTAGAATCATCAATCTTTCCCACAGCCAGAGGTAGGCTGGCTTCCATCTTGATTGTCAGTGCTGCAGTGAGCTCCGTTCTTCTGTGTTTTTATTGGTATTTTAGTGAGAGGTAGGAAAAGCTGCCTGCTGGGCTGTTGAAGAAATGTTGACAGTTGCCAGGCCAGTACTCTGTATGTGGCTCAGGCTTAGTAAGTAGTTATTGAATGAATAACTGCATGAGTTTAAAGAGCAGAGATAGTACAAAGAGCAGAGATAGTTCTTTATATAGCAGAACAAGCAGCTGATTACTTAGAATGATTTGAAAGGCAAAAAGGACTGCTTGGTTCCTTAATCTAGTGGATAAAATACAGTGCCTGAAATTCTTACCTTAAGTTTATGAATACTTTTGTGTTTGGGCATTGAATGCTTTTCTAAAATGGAAATTATTTTTGGAATAAGCCATAATCAACAATCAAAACCTAATGTAAATCTGTATAGCAGTTTAGTTGATTTAGAGATTTATTACAGAAAAAGCTTCGATTCTTGGGAAAGAGAAGTGGGAAATGGAGGGGAGAAGGTTGAAAATCTGGAGTGTTTGCACTCAAAGCATGGGGCAGTGAGGAGAGGGCCGGGGTAGGGGGTGGAGACCTTCTCCAAAAGTGGAAGCCAAAATAGAGATGACAGAGTATGAGTCAAAGGGGAGAAATTTGAATGCTTGTGCAATTTAGCTGTCCTGCAATGGAAAGACTTATTTTCTTGGGTTTCTCATTATAGCCAGGAGGGCAAAAAAGAGAAAAACAAACAGAAAACATTACTTCCAACTGGCTTTCTGCTGAATTCTCCAGAGAATGGCTGGATTGTCACAGTGGTTGCCTTTAAGGCCTTAAGCATAAGCCACTTCCTTGTCTTGCTTCTTATATTCATGAAACTTTCACTCTAGAATTCTAGGACAAAGGAAGGAGATGATAAGGAGAAGTTAAATTTTGTATAGCAAATGATTTTATTTTTACTTTTTAATTGTGATAAAATACACATAACATAAAACTTACTATGTTAATCATTTAAAAATGTACAGTTACGTTAAGCATTTTCATGTTGTTGTGCAACCAATCTTCAGAACTTTTTCATCTTGCAAAACTAAAACTTTATAGCCATTAAGTAACAACCTCTCCATTTTCCTCTTCCTCAGCTCCTGACAACAACCATTCTACCTGCTGTGTCTATGAGTTTGATTACTCTTAATACCCTGTATAAGTGAAGTCATGCAGTATTTGCATTTTTGTGACTGGCTTATTTCATTTACCATAATATTCTCATAAAGCGTTCATCCACTTTATAGCATGTGTTAGAATTTCCTTACTCTTTAAGGCTATTATTCCATTATATGTATAAACTACATTTTGTTTATCCATTATCGATGGACACGGGTTGCTTCCACTTTTTGGTTACTGTGAACAATGCTGCTATGAACATGGGTATACAAACATTTCTTTAAAACCCTGCTTTCAATTATTTTGAGTATATGACCAGAAGTAAAATTGCTGGATCATGTGGTAATTCTATTTTTAATTCTTTTAAGGGACAGTCATACTGTTTTCTGTAGTGGCTGCACCATTTTACATTCCTACCAGGGGTGTACAAGAGTTGCAATTTTTTCACATCCTTGCCAGCACTTGTTATTTTATGTTTGTTTGTTTTTTTTTCCTTTTGATAGCAGCTGTAGTAACTGACTTTTTAAAGGTCACTTTCGCCAAGCTATCATTTTTCCTTTACAGATGTGGAAATTGCAGTTCAAAGGAGAAATGATTGCCTTCAATGGTAGCTAAAGAATTGAAATCCAAGTTTTCAAAATCCAAATACAAGTCTCCTCCTACAACAGCAGACTTCACAATATATCAGACAAAACTATTAGAAACAGCAAGCAAGAGGATCTTAAAATTGGGGAGATGAGGGACTTGAAGCCTGATGGGGGAGGTTTCTAGTTTTTAATGTAGTTTGAGCTGCAGGTAAAAATCTGCTGATAATAATACTGTCCAAAGGAGGAATTTAGTTTTTTTAAAAAAATTAGCTATGCGAACAGTAAAGCTTGACCTTCATTAATATGTGCTCATTAGCATTATCTGATTTACCTAGGTGTTAGCCCAGGTGTTTGGAAGAGCAGCCAGGAGAATAACCTCACATCATTACAAAACTGGAGATGTATCTTCTGTTCCTCTCTGAGGACTTTCAAATAAACATTAATTATAACAGCACAAATTTAGAAATGGCTGATTACATAATTTTGGCAAACCTGTCATTATCCATAAATATTTCATGAAATACAGAAATGCATGCAGCATTTTTCATAAAGCTTCATAAAGACACTTTTTTCTCTGATGGGGGAAAAAAAACCCCTGTGTTTCTTATATAATTCTCAGGTCAGGCAAACACTACTTCTGGAGCATACAATTATACCTACAGTTTCAGATACCATGGTTAATCTTCTTGGCTTTATATTTTGGGAACAATGTAGCAGGAACTGTGTTTAAGCTAAATGCTTATCTGATGATAGACTTCCTCTCTTACATTATGGAGGGAAATAAAATGATGTGATGATATAAGCGCAATGTAGCGCTCTGCAGAGTTCAATATCCTGCAGTTTCTTTGTGCTCTTCCTGCTTGATATGCAAGTTACTTCTAAGTGTCCTGAAAAACCACTCATCATGGAGAACTTAAAAGTAACACTGGGCACTGTGAGAGTATTGTGCTGAGAAGACAGTGACAGAGCCTAATGTGAGTCATGTTTTTTCATACTTAACACCTCTTCACAGAATCATCTCAATTTTATGGATGACAAGTGTGAAGAAGACAGAAGTCAGGAGAGAACAATGCCAAATTTATCCTAGAAACAATTAATTGATCAATGGATTTATGCACACCAAAACTATTTAATAGGCACCTATATCATGTGTCAGTCACAGTGCTGGACACTCAGGTGAGTGATACAAACAAGAAAATACATCATTCCTGCTCTCAAGGACGTTAAAAATAATCTCCATGATGCAGTGGCTTTCAGACTTTGGTGTACATCAGAATCACATGGAAGGCTTGTTAAAGCACAGGTTGTTGGGCCTTACCCTTATACTTTCTGATTCTTTGGGTATGGGAACGGGGAGCAAAAATTTCAAAAATGTTCCCAGACGATGTTGATGTCACTGGTCCTGGGACCGCACTTTGGGAACCACCATTATAATGAAACTTTTGTAGCAGCAAAAGAGAGCCTAAATCTTAAAAATCTTAACTTGTGAAAGCCTTGTTTGCTTAAATGTAATAATAATGTCAAAGCTTTACATGTTTAATTAAGGCTCTCCTGCTGTCCAATTAACATAGCCCCTAAAAGGGAACTTCAAATGAATAGTGCCATTATGCTTCACACAGACACACACACAGACACACAGACACACGCACACACTCATACATACAGAAATTTTAAAAAAGGGCTAGATGAAAACATTTTGGAGATTGTGAATGATATTTAGTCCACTATCACCAAAAATAATACCTGGTAAGGAAAATGAGACACAAATAAAAATATTCAGTGGAAAAGAAAAACACTTCAAATTGAATTATGTAAAAAAAAAATCAATTGAATTATGTAAAAAAAATTAAATGCTGATATCCTGATAAGACTGCACAAATGTTAGAGCAATAATGAAAGAGGAAACAAATTTATGTTTTTTACACTAAAAATGATATAACAGAAGATAAAATAATTGATGTGTCTTTAATATAATACAAGGGCAATTGTATCTGATTTTAAAAAATGATCTGGTTTTCTATGGATTGGCTTCTTGATGGAATCTTTTCAGTTGTTTGATGTTAAAACCAATTTAATGATAAATGAGTAATGATGGATATGCTTCTTTATGTACCTGTACACTTACATGGTACAAAGTACAGGCAGTGACTTTCAATGACCAAGTAAGAGAGATTAGAGTGTAATACAAGTGAATGTAAAAATGGCAGGAGTGGCTAAAAGTAAGCAAAAGATGAGTCATGTTGAATTTATGTGATACCCTTTTTCTGATGGTCTCAGAAAATACTGGCATTTAAAACTCATTGAGAGAGTGTAGCCAGGCATTATTACCTGTGTTGTTATATGTTTAAGATGAACATACAGAAGCACAGAGATTTCCTGACTCTCCCAAGGATTGGTATACTGAATGCAAGAATTAGAATCAGTACGTTAGGTTTCGGTGGTATATTTTTGTTTCAAATTTTAGTCCAGTTTTAAACACCAGACAACATTCTTTTTTATAATATAAGATTTCTAGCAGCTTTGTTTTGGAAGAAATTTCTAGAGATTTAAATTTATTAATTCCTACATGGGTGAGTCCATCCTCATGTGTAGGGGCTGCAGGCAGTTGCTCCTGGTATGATCCAAGTTTCACCATGAAATTTCCATCAATATTCAGTTTCTCTCTAAGTGGCTTGCTAGAGTACTAGCCTTCTTTCTAGGTTTTGCTTGATATTCTTATGCTAATTGAGTCAATATTGCAGTATGGTGATGTCGGTAGGCTCTGGAATCAAGCTGCCAGGGTTCAAATCTCAGCTCTGCTACTTATTCACTTCATGACCTTGAGCAACACTTAATCCTTCTAAACCTGCATATTCCATTTGTAAAATGGAGGCTCACAGGAGCTAGGCCTGAATTGAAGGGCAGGTCAGCAAACTGGGATAAAGCCATTCTGCAGCCAGGTCAATCTGTAAAGTTTAAAAGAGGAAGAACCCCTTCTGGAGCACAACAAGAGTTTTGTTTGGCTCTGAAAGTGACAGGGGAACTGTTCAATTATAGACCAAGTTAGAATCAGCTAAAGTTTAGACATTTGTTTGAAATGTTGAGTTTCAAACTGTTTTTCCATTTTGGGGGCTGCTCTGAACTCAGGACCCTCTGGCTTTTTGTAAGGACCATCCATTTGTTTAGGTGGTTAATTTCTCAAATAGGCCTTGGTCCTGACCTAACTGAACAGGATAGGTTAGGTCAGGACCAAGGCCTGTTTGAGAGGTTGGGCCAGGTGTCCTTGTAGCTCACTGGAGTTAAGCGTCCAGCTACTGGAAGTGAGTAATCCAGCCAGTACTTAACCACTGGAAAGAAAAGGAAGTTGTCCTAGCTAGGGGGTGGAGGATACATGTCACACTTTAATAAACAGGCAGAGGCAAACCGTAGCTTTAAGAAAGGACTGAATTTGTAATGTGAGTGGTGGAATGTCAGGGAATAAGGGAATTGGGGGAAACTTTCTGTTTATTTTTATGTTGAAGAGAAAAGCTAGGACTTTAATTTAGTCTATAAATTATAACAGGGTGCTAATTTTATTTCCTAATTAACAGCATCTAGGTTAGACTTTGCATATAATTGTGCTAATTCTTAGGATGCACAAAAAATAAATGAAAGGCTTTTTGAGGGGTTAATTTTTCTAACAAAATTATAGAATAGCACAACAGGGCATCCTTCACTTCTTGCTTGACTTTTGTGGCATGCTTATAAAGAAGGTTATCTTTGCAAAATATTCAAGGTCTTCTTCAAACCCTCTTTTGAAGGATTTACTTTGTCATCAAATCTTTATTTTTCAATGGTTTGAAATGGTTTGAGTTGTTTTCCAATTTCACTTTTATAGACTTCATCAAAGTCTGCATCTTTTGCAAGATTTTCAGTTTCACTGATAATTATAACATGCCATAATTTTTGTAAGAAAATGGCAAAGATATGAAAATGATGCATAGGATAAGAGCTAATGCGAAGCAGGAAGGAATTTTTGAGTATAAACTATATCACATGTGGTCAGTTCCTTAACACAGATTTTTATATCATAATACATCTGCCTGCCTATGAAACCTTATAAGTTTAAGGACTTGAATAATAACAAGAAAGACCTGTCTTGATAACAAGAAAGACCTGTCTAATTTTACTGTCAATTGAGACTGGGAAAGAGTCTTACAGCTTTGCGCTTTCTAATGTGTTATTGACAATAGAAACACCCATGATAGTTTGATATTTGCCCCAACCTAGTAGCCCCTTCTCCTAGAATTGGGATTTAGAATCTTGATTATCATTTTCTCAAACCAAATGTTTCTAAAAGTAAAAGAAGGCCTACACTTATAGAGTAGTGCTCTAAGTTACCATTATTTGGTGCATATCACAGAGCTTGGTATGTCTTTATGGAGTGAGGAAACCCCAAGTAGATGAATCCTTAAAATGGCAAATATGTACAGTGATTGCCCTAGTGTGGTGGACAACAGATTTCTTCCTCTGGTGTAGTGAGACTGGAAAACTTGTGAGGCAGGCTTCACTTGGGCTCATAAAGATTTATCTTTATTTGTTGCTCAATCTCAGGGAAATCAGAAGGAACCTGCATGCAGGTGTACTTCAGTGGCTGATATGGAGGCCAGATGTTGGGTGTCTGAGCAAAAGTCCTGATTTTAGTTGACCTCCTTCTGGATTCATTAGCGGATCAAACCATATCTGAACAGATGTACTCATTAGTCCTGCAGTAGGTCCACTGGGAAGCTTCTTTCTAATTTTGGCTTTGAGTCCATTGGATGAATGGATTTTTCTAGAGTCTATCCTCTCCTATGGACATTTGAACAATAGTTTTAGCTTATCATCAAAATCTTTATAGTGAGCTCCCCTAATGCATACAGTAGGAAGTCCTAGCTACAGCAATTAGGCAAGAAAAATAAATAAAAGGCATCCAAATTGGAAAGGAAGAAGTTCAATTTTTCCTGTTTGCAGGTGACATTACCTTATATGTGGAAAACTCTAAAGTCTCCACCAAAAAACTGTCAGAACTAATAAATATTCTAACAGAATATTTTCATATTGTAAAGGTGCAGGATGAAAAACAACATACAAAAATCAGTAGCATGTACTAACAATGAACTGTGTACTAACAATGAACTGTCCAAAAAAGGAAACCAATAAAACAATTCCAATTACAATAGCTACAAAAATAAATAAATACATAGGAATACATTTAACTAAGGACATGAAAGATCTGTACTCTAAGAACTATAAAACATTAATAAAAGAAATAAAAAAAGACACAAATAAATGGAAAGATACCATGTTTCATTAATTTATTGGAAAATTAATATTGTTAAAATGTCCATACTACCCCCAAAAATCTACAGATTCAATGCAACCTCTATCAAAATTCCAATAACATTGTCCACTGAAACAGAAAAAACAATCCTAAAGTTCACATGGAACTACAAAGACCCCAAATAGCCAAAGCAATCTTGAGCAAAATGAACAAAACTGGGGGTATCACAATGCCTGATTTCAAAATATACTACAAACAGCATGGTGCTGGCATAAAAACAGACATATAGGCCAATAAAACAAAGAGAGTCCAGAAATAAATCCACCCATGTATAGTCAATGGATTTTTGACAATGGTGCCAAGAACACACAATGGGAAAAAACAGTCTTTCAGTAAATGGTTTTGTAAAACAGGATACCTATATGCAGAAAAATAAAATTGGATGTTTATCTGACACCATATACAAAAGTCAACTCATAATGGATTAAAGACTTAAACATAAAGCCTGAAACTGTAAAAACTACTAGAAGAAAACTTAGGGAGAAAACTGCACAACATTGGTCTGAGCAATGATTTTTTTGATATGACTCCAAAAGCACAGGCAACAAAAGCAAATATAGACAAATGGTATCGCATCAACCTGAAAGGCTTCTGTGCAGGAAAGGAAACAATCAACAGAGTGAAGAGACAACCTATGGAATGGGAGAAAAATTTGCCAGCCATACACCTGATAAAGGATGAATGCCCAAAATATACAAGGAACTCAAATAACTCAATAGCAAGAACATAAAACACCTGATTAAAAACTTGGCAAAGGACCTGAATAGACATTTCTTAAAAGAATATATGGGCCAGGTGCGGTGGTTCACGCCTGTAATCCCAGCACTTTGGGAGGCCAAGGCGGGCAGATCACAAGGTCAGGAGATCGAGACCATCCTGGTTAACACACTGAAACCCTGTCTCTACTGAAAAAAAAAAAAAAACATTAGCCAGGTGTGGTGGTGGGCGCCTGTAGTCCCAGCTACTCAGGAGGCTGAGGCAGGAGAATGGCGTGAACCTGGAAGGCAGAGCTTGCAGTGAGTGGAGATTGCACCACTGCACTCCAGCCTGGGTGACAGAGCGAGACTCCATCTCAAAAAACAAAACAAAACAAAACACAAAACAAAACAAAACAAAACAAGAATATATGCAAATGGCCAACAAGTAAATGAAAAAATGTTCAACATCACTATCAATAAGGAAATGCAAATAAAATCCACAAAGAAATATTACCTTATGTACCTGTCAGAATGGCTATGATAAAAAATATGAAAGATAAATGTGGAGAAAAGGGAGCTCTTGTACGCTGTTGGTAGGAATGTAAATTAGTACAGCCAATATGGAAAACAGTATGGTGGTTCCTCAAAAAGTTAAAAATAGAACTACCATATGATCCAGCAATTTCACTTCTGAGTATATATCCAAAGAAAATCAAGTCAGTATGCTGAAGCAATATCTGCACTCCTATGTTCATTGCAGCATTATTCACAATAGCCAAAATATGGAATCAACCTAAATGTCCATCAGCAGATAAAGTGTTATATATATATTCTTTCTAATTTTGGCTTTATATAGATACACAATAGAATACTGTGATAAAGAATACATTGAATAGAATGTGTAGAATAATGCTACAATGTATTCATAGACTATACAATGTATTCATAGAATACGTTGTAGCATTATTCACAATAGCCAAAATATGGAATCAACCTAAATGTCCATTGGCAAATAAAGTGTTATATATATTCTTTCTAATTTTGTCCCTTTATATACATAGATACACATTAGAATACTATTCAGCCTTTAAAAAGAAGAAAATCCTGCCATTTTTGACAACGTAGATGAGCCTGGAGGACATTATGTTAAGTAAATAAGTCAGGCATAGAATTACAAATACTGTGTGATCTCACTTTTGTGTGAAGTAAAAAATGTTGAGCACACAGAAGCAGAGTAGAATGATAGTTGCCAATGTCTGTGGGGAGTGGTGGTGTGGGAATGGGGAGATATTGGCCAAAGTTAGACAGGATGAGTAAGTGCTGGAGATCTATTGTTAAGCATGATGACTATAGTCAATAATAATGTATAATTGAAAATTGCTGAGGGAATAGATAAGTTCTCACCAAAAAATGATAAGTATGCGAGGTGACGCATATGTTAATTAGCTTTATTTAGCCATTCCACAAGGTATACATAGTTCAGAACATCATGTTGTATACCATAAATATATACAATTTTATTTATCAGTTAAAAAAAGGAAAACAGAAAAAAATAAAAAATGTACTGGGAAAAAAATTTATAGCACTCCTAAACATACAGTAGGATGCCCAAAGTGCATCTTGAGCACAGTTTTTCAGTCTCAGCAGCATAATTGACATTTTGGACCAGATAAATCTTGTTGTGAGAGGCTGTTCTGTGCAATATAGGATGCTTGGCAGCAACCCTGGTCTCTACCCACTAGACGACTGTAGCATGTTTCGTTTTGATAATCAAAAATACCTGCACACATTGCTAAATGCCCCTTGAGGGGTAAAATTGCTTCTGGTTGAGACCCAGTCTAGACAAAGGTTGGGAAATTTGTTGGCTGTATCTTCAAAATATGTTCAGAATTCAACCACTCCCACCACTTCCATTTTCTCTCTTTGTCAAGCCACCATCATCTCTTGCCTGGATTATTGCAGTAGTTTCCTAATCAGACTCCTGGTATCTACTCCATTTTCTACTCTTACCTTTTCAGTGTTTTCTCCACACAGCATCCAGAGTGATTCTTTCAGAACATGCCAGTTTATGTCACTTATCTCCTCACAACTCTCCAAAGACTCTCTCTTTCTCTGAGGGTAAAATTAGTAGGTGAATTCAGGACAATGGCATGCCAGGAACTATGTGACGCATCACAACCACCAGCTGAACCAGGGATTTGTGAAGGAGCCAGAGGCATGTGGGCAGCCAATGGCCCCTGAGAAGGCTCAAAACTTTCTGGATGTTCTTTCTGAAGTCGTCTTCAGAGCCAGTTTAGTCAGGCAGGACTACTACTCTGATTCCCTATAATCAGATACTTTTTCTTCCAAATAGTCCTCTAGTTGGATCATTAATCAATTCACCAGACTACTGATGACAATTATCTCTATCCAAAAATTAAAGTCTACACTTAAAAAATTAGGATTTGCTGCCACTGGGTTCATTTGAAACAAAGCAGCAGGTTCTAAATGCAAACCTTTAAGAGGAATCCCTGAAAGTGTTTTTAATTGATGGCAAGATCAATGGACTAAAGTAGAAATTCTTAAGGCAGTTATGTTGAAGAAGATAATGTTCACTTAGATTTTTATGTTTTGGGTATTAATTAATATGAGCTTTATTATAATATTTGAAATTACTTCCTAGAGTAATTTAGTAACTTGATATTTTATAATAATAACATTTTGAAACATTTCAAGAATATGCCCTAGATATATGGAAAATAAGTCACAAATTCAACAATAAGATAGATAAGAGATGGAGAACCACAATTACAGAAGAACCAGGAGGTATTCTCCCCCAAGATCAACATGAAATAAGATCTCATGAAAACAGCAAAATAAAGGACAGTTAAAGGTGGCAGAGTTACCGAAAACCTCACTTTGATACACAAAAAGTGTCAGCAATCTGTTAGAGCACAGAAATAGTGATTGCCCCTTTCACTACAACATGGAAAGATTCCACTTGGCTTTGCTAGTTGCTTTCTGTCTCTCCATATGGGAAAAATATAACTAACTGGATAATTTTCAACCAGCAAAAAAAGGTGGAGCATAAATTCTAAAAATAAGTATGATATAAAAATGCTGAAATGCTAAAAATGTTCGATAAGTTATAAATGGGAAAACAGATAAGAAAAGACATAGTAAAAGATTTTTACAGCTATGTGAAATAGGGCAAAATTAAGCAAAAACAAACTTGAAAGTGGAATACCAGAGAACATTTTTATGGTAATGACAAATGGTAATGTTCTATTGTATAACAAGAGCCCCCATTTCATAAGAGAATTTGAATGTAAACTGGGAATACTCAGCGATGTTCTCAAAACTAGAATTCTTTTCTAGTGAGAGAGATAATTCTGTTTTTTTTCCTTCCTGACATATTACAAACTAATTTTTCAGAGTTTTGTGAAATATTGTTAATTTTTTTCTTTTACTACTTGTTTTCTGGCCATCATGCTTCTCTAGGGAGAGAATTATGATAATCTGAGAGCATGCTGTTTTATACACCCTTAGCTTTAATCCCCTTTTAGATACTTTTTACTTTTTCTCCAGGCTTTTGACTTGGGATGACTTTTTTTTTTTTTTTTTTTTTGCTGCAGAATATAGTGCCATCTTTCATAGACAGTTGCAAAAGTAAACCTCCTCTAATAACATTCTAAAAATGTGATTATTAAATAAAAAGATGCAATTTAATAAAAGCCATGGTTCATAAAGCCATTAGTTAAATAGATTCATTAATAAGAACACATTTTCCCACATGAGACACTCCGTAAGTGGTGGTTATGGTCTCCAGCTAGCCTGCCAACTTTATTTAATTTACAATGCATTTGAAACTGAATGTTCTATAAATCAGATACATTATGGGTTAATAGGGCCTTTGGGGAGACAGTGAGAGGAATAGTCAGGGAATCTGACACCCATTATAAATTATGTTTAAGGCAATTGATTTTCAAGTCAAGTCTTCGAATGCCAAGACCTCAACTATAACAAGTTCCAAGAAATTGAGAGATTGGGACAGAAAAAAAAAGGAAGAATAGGAGGTGAAATTTTCTTCCTTGAGGGCACAAGTAACTGGACACTCTCCCCAAACTCTCCTACCCAGCATGAAGGGGACTCTTCTCCCTTAGCACCAGAAAACTCACCAGGAGAGGATTCTCTCTTTCCTCTAAACTCTCCCTCAGAAATCACTGCTTAGTATTGTTAAGCAGCAATTATCTATGGGTTTCTGCACATCTTGCAAAGCAGGCACTGAGTACCCTTTGTTCTCCACCATCTTTTCAAGGATGTTTGCTAAGAGAAAATATCTGGAAGATAGAGATGTTGTCTCTTTCAAGAGAAAGGATAGGGTTGCTTATGGCTTTGGGACATAGAGATAGTATCTCCCTCTGGAGCAATAGGCAGATACTCTTACTGCCTGTTACAAAAGATTTGGATCCCCTAAGCTCAGGGTTCCACTCTTGCAACACAACCCTATGGGAATTGGGGCTCTGGTGCAATTGCAAATGTTACTGTGGCTACTGTTATTGCTCTGAGTAATGAATGGTCCTTTGTTTCTGATTCAGGAGGCTCTTCTATCAGTATCCACGGAAGTGTGTCAGGCGAACTTTTTAACCTGCAAGTGAGCTTACTGCTTTTTAATAAAAGCAGCACATTTTAATTATGATTCTGATGTATGTGTAGATCAGAATCTATAAAAATTACTAAATACATTACTTATTTCTTTATAGATAAAACTGCTCATTAATATACTAAATAATTTAGCATAAGTAATGATGTTCTTTGAAAAGGAAGTAATAATTGGTAAAAGAGGTTGGAGATTAGCTGTGGATGTCAATTTTGTGGTATTTAAAATTGCTTTTCACAGCATGGTAATGGTACAAAAACAGACACATAGACCAATGGGACAGAATAGAGAGCCCAGAAGTAAGGCCACATATCTACAACCATCTAATCTTTGACAAAGCTGACATAAACAAGCAATGGGTAAAAGACTCCCTGTTCAGTAAAAGGTGCGGGGAGAACTGGCCAGCCAGATGCAGTAGATTGAAACTGGAACCCTTACTTATACCATACATAAAAATCAACTCAGGGTGGATTAAAGACTTAAATGTAAAAAAACTCTGGAAGATAGCTTAGGCAATTCCATTTTGGACATAGGAACAGGCATAGATTTCATGACAAAGACACAACAGGCAATCACAACAAAAGCACAAATTTACAAATAGGATCTAATTGAGCTGAAGAGCTTCTGTACAGCAAAAGAAACTATCAACAGAGTAAACAGACAGCGTACAGAATGAGAGAAAATTTTTGTGATCTATCCATCTGACAAAGGTCTAATATCCAGCATCTATAAGGAACTTAAACAAATTTACAAGAAAAAGCCAACAACCCTATTAAAATGTGGGCAAAGGACATGAACGGACGCTTTTCTAAAGAAGACATACATGCGGCCAACAAGCATATGAAAAAAAGCTCAGTATCACTGATCATTAGAGAAATGCAAATGAAAACCGTAATGAGATATCATTTCACACCAGTCAGAATGGCTATTGGTTTTTTTTTCCTGTTGTTTTTTTTTTTTTTTTTTTTTTTGAGACGGAGTCTCACTCTTTCACCCAGGCTGGAGTGCAGTGGCGCGATCTTGACTCACTGCAAGCTCTGCCTCCCGGATTCACACCATTCTCCTGCCTCAGCCTCCCGAGTAGCTGGGACTACAGGCACCCGCCACCACGCCCAGCTAATTTTTTGTATTTTTAGTAGAGGTGGGGTTTCACCGTGTTAGCCAGGATGGTCTTGATCTCCTGATCTCATGATCCACCCGCCTCAGCCTCCCAAAGTGCTGGGATTACAGGCATGAGCCACTGCGCTCAGCCCAGAATGGCTATTGTTAAAAAGTCAAAAAATAACAGATGCTGGAGAGGTTGTGGTGGAAAGGGAAAACTTATACACTATTGGTGGGAGTGTAAATTAGTTCAGCCATTGTGGAAAGCAGTGTGATGATTCCTCAAAGAGCTAAAAATAGTACTACCATTTGACCCAGCAATCCTATTACTGGGTGTATACTCAAGGAATAGAAATCAGTCTACCATAAAGACACGTGCATGCAAATGTTCATTGCAGCACCATTCACAATACTATTCACAATAGTAAAGACATGGAATCAACCTAAATGCCCATCAAAGGTGGACTGGATAAAGAAAATGTGGTACATATACACCATGGAATACTATGTGGCCATAAATAAGGAAATTATGTCTTTTGCAGGAACATGGATGGAGCTGGAGCCCATTATCCTCGGCAAACTAATGCAGGATCAGTAAACCAAATACCACATCTTCTCACTTATAAGTGGGAGCTAAATGATGAAAACACATGGACACATAGAGAACAACAGACACTGGGACCTACCTGAGGGTGCAAGGTGGTAGGGAGGAAAGGATCAGAAAAAATAACTATTGGGTACTAGGCTTAGCTCCTGGATGATGAAATAATCTGTATAGCAACCCCCCATGACATGAGTTTACCTATATTACAAACCTGCACATGTACCTCTGAACCTAAAATAAAAGTTGTTTTTTTAAAAAGAAACACAAGTAATCCCCTTTTTATCCAGGGTTTCATTTTCTGTGATTTCAACCACAGTCCAAAAATATTAAATGGAAAATTCCAGAAATAAGCAATTCATAACTTTAAAAAAATAAAAAATAAAAATGATTTTCATTATAATACTCAAAGTCTCATATGCACAATGCTACCATTTTAAGTGCTGTTTGTTGTTTTAATTTCCTAGTCTAAGTATTTGTAAGAAAAAAACAGTTTCTATGATTCCAAATTTGCTCAATGGCCCAAAGGATAAGCACAACTTGCCTCTCCTACCAACAGATATTTTGAATTTACTCTGTTGCTGGGGAGCATATTGGTCTGCATTTTCTGATGTTTGTGGCAGAGGATGGCTCAGTCCTGGTTAAGTGTGGTCAAAAGTAGAACTTAACACAACTTTAAGATTAAACACACAAAGACGACCCACGTTTTGTGGCTTTAAAACTCTTACGTGTAGCCTTACATGTAGATTCGGATTTTTTTTATGGTGGTGTGTTCTCAGTATATATTCATGTATTCACTCTTCTTACTTAATAGTTCGTATAGAGATTAAGAAATCTCTCTTAATTGTTAAAACAGATTTCTCTCAGGCTCTCCAGCTTCTGGTACAGACAAACTGTACAGGAAATGCAGCTGCTTCTCTTGTTTCTTAATGACTAATTATTGTATCCTAGTGCCTTGCACATACTGCTTAGAGTTGAATTCAAGTAGATTGTTGTTTTTTAAGAGTATCCTAGCAGTAAGATTAGGATTTTTCCATGGGTTATTTTACTCAATAAAACAGCACGGTAGCATGTGCCCTTTCTTTCTGTAAATATAGATGAAGAAATATCTTCTCAAACAAGCTATGCTTTACCCAACTGATAGCATTGAAAAATTAAAAGATTATAGTGAATAATATATGCGTATTAGGATCCTTAAAAGACTGGATAATTGGAGTTGTCAGTACAATAATCACCTCAGTTTTGAGTGTCATCTTTCAGGTAAATTAGACTCAGATTTGACACAGAGAAGTAATAGAAAAATAATTTGAAAAACCATTTAAAATGTTTGCTTTGCTCAAGCTTTCGAGTTCAAGTTTAGTTCTATAAATTAAATACCCACATCCATAGTTACTTAATTAGAGGATAAACCAATTCTCAAAACATTTAGTAATAATAGCAATAAATAGGTGTAATATATCTGCCAAGCAAGTGTCAAGTCTTATATTTTGCATTATCTCATTTAATAGTCACAGTTATTGTTACCACTATTTTACAGGTGAGGAAACTGAGACTTAGGGAAATTAAGTAACTTATTCGAATTTGCATAGTTAATAAGTGGTAGAATTTTAATTCGGTACTGTTAATCCTTACAGTTCAAAAATGATAGTATTTTTCAATAAAATGGAAATTTGTTTTTAATGAAAATGGAAATTTCCCTTGCTTGGCACTTGATGTTGTCTCAGAAACCCAATCTGAAGAAGAGATTTGCATTTCTTCTATTTCATCCAATTCACCCTCAACCTGGGAATATTCATAAAAAAGAGAACAAATTGTGTAGATATTGGGAACAGCTTGTTTGAAACCCATTAACTTTTACTTTTTAACTATCAAGATTTTAACCACTGTGGGTATTAGGTGAAATCTATCACTTAAGAAAATTGCAAATGCCTCCCTTGGGAGGAAATTAACTCAAATCTATGAAGCTAAGACTACAAACTCTGTGACTGGATGGTACACACTTTAGCAGCACTAGTCAATTAAACCTCATAATCCTATTGAAATAGAGCACTAGCTTTCCCAAGAGGCCACATCAGCTGACATCTATAACCTTCAACTTCAGATGCCCCTTGGAGTTTTTATTCTGGGTAGTCTGTCACTGGTTCCTGTTAGCTGTCTGAGGGGCTGGGAGTGGCAGCAGATTTCTAGATTTTCCAGGTTTGTGCAACCTAATGGGAGATAAAGCATCTGTTCTTGATCCTGCTCCTCACTTTCTTCCCAGCAGTTCTAAAGGTGGATAACCTTTCCATGCTGTGATCAATGTATTCAACTAATCAGACCTAAGGGTGGCCTTGCACATAGTCAATGAAAGTCATTGCTTATATGGTGTGATTTACAAGGCCCTCAGCTAAAGGATTCTGCTATACCTTGCCCCACACTCTTGCTCCCCATTCAATTTCCAGTAGTTCACATCCTGTAAACTTGGCATGTCTAGAAAATATCAAATTACTCTGTGGAAAAGGATTGAAAAAAATTGGGGGGCACAATCATCCTTTCTTGATGAAACTCAAACTTCGACACACTCTTTGTTTCTCTAGTGTTTATGATTTTTGTTACGTTGAGTTGGGTTCTAGAGGGGGATCTCTGACTTCCTTCTAGCCTGTGCTCCTGTCCTGTTCAAGGGAGCTCTCTACGAAGGGTCTTCAGTTCCTAATTCTCAGTCTTACTGCCAACCTACCTGACCAAGTTTCCCTCTTCTGATGCTGTGCAAGCTCCATCTGAACTACCATATTTGACCAAGCCATTGTTTTGCAACTGCAAACTTATTCACAACCAAGCTGCCCCAGCTTCCTAGAGGTAATCTTCAAAGTTCTCCAGGACTCTCCATATCAAGCCTGGCATTACCCTAGTCCTACCAGAAGCCAGCTCTGCGTGTGCATATACCCACCATTCTGTTATGGGGATTATATCTGTGAAGAACTGCCAAGGAAAATAGTAAAGTCATTACCTCAACTCACTCAAATGAGATAAAAACTGCACGTAAAACTCCAGATCACTCTAATTGCTGTAGTTTCCAACCTCTGTTTTTATCAGAGGAACTGTTTTATTAAAACAAAATTTTACCCAGAACCTCAGTGTTGATTCATGTATTCAATAGCTATTGAGCACTTATTTGTGCAAAGCACTGAATATATGCCTTAGTAAATAGAATTCACATCTGCCAACTAAATAGGTCCAGTTCAAGTCCAGGAGTCATCCCTGATTCCCTTTTTCCCCTTATTGCATATATCCAATCCATTGAAAAGTCTCATCAATTTCACCTTTAATCTGTATTTCGACTTTTCCCCACTTCTCTCTGGCTACAACCACCCTGATTCCAGTCATCATCATCTCTTATATCTATCAGGGCAAACCTCCGGCTGCCTCCACTCTTGCTCTCCTATAAACTATTCTACACATAAAAGGCAAAGTAATCTAATGCCTTAGCATGATCTACAAGGCTCTGTATGATCTGGCCCCTTTCTGTCATTGCCATTCAATGTCATCCCTGTCATTCACAAACCCCTGGACACAATGAATTTCTTTGTGACACCTTATGTTAAAACTTTTCCTAGTTTTGGTCCTTTGCACTTTCTATTTCCTCTTTTTGGAGTGTTCAGCCACCAGATCCTCTCACGATGGACTCCACCATATAATTCCTATCTCAATCCAATGAGAGAGGCCTTCCCTGACCAGCCAATTTTAATGAGCCCTTAAACCATTAGTCACTGTTTATCATATGTCCATGTTCTACATTCCTCAAAGTCTTGATTACCATTTGAAATAACATGTTATTATTTTTGTGTGTTATCTATGTCCCTCTCACTCTTCTAGACTGTAAATTCTCTCTTCACAACTGTGTCCATTATAATGGTACTTGGTACATAGTTAGACTTAATGGCTATTTGTTAAATAGACAGTGGGGAATAAAACAAAGTCTCTTCCTTCACAAAATTTTCCATTAAACAAAAAATTAAATAATAAATACAATCACATATACAAATTGTCATACATGTTATAAAAGAAAATAATAGATTGCTCTGTGGTCATGGGAGATGGCTCCAAGCAAGTGCACAAAAGAAGTGAACTTGACAGAATGAGCCATGAGGATATCTGAAGGAAGAGTGCTCCGATAGAGGGAAAAGGCAATCCCACAGCTTAAGGGGTTAGTAGTATGTCTGGCCTGTTTGAGGTGGGAGTGGAGTGAGCCAGATGGGAGAATAATAGGAGATGAGATCAGAAAGGGATACAGTAGCAGGACTGCTTCGCTGAGCAACAGTCCTAATAATTTAGGCATTAAAGCCCATATACCTCTGAAGGATGCAGTACACTTGGAGGGTATTTAGGCTCCATGGAACTTTGTGTGTGGGTGTGTGTGTGTTCCAGTTGGTTCCCTGGAGGTTGATATCGGACTGGGTGTTATCCGATTGTTCTTGTGTATCCAATCACACTATACATAAAAATCCCAGAAAAGGATTCAAAATTGCAAAGAGCAATCAGATATTAATCATACTGAACTTCCCAGAATTGACTATGTTTTACTCTAAACAATCACTTAATCATACTATTAGCATTTTGGCCTAAGGTCAAAATAAAGAGTTCAGTTTGATTCTGATGCTTAAGTCCAAATAATCTGATTGCTTTTGGCAACTTGTAGGTAGAATGTGCATATAGCAGAAATATAATTTAATTTTACTTTTCAGAAACACTTTTAACTTCCTTGGGGAATTATCCCACTTCAGAAGGCCAACAAACTTCTAATGGAAAGGTAAGAAAATAAACTTTTTTTTCGATATGTGAAATTCTCACATCACTCAAAACAGTGGACTGTACACAGAAGAGAAGTAAATTTAACAATTTATTGTTGTGTACAAACGTAGGAAAAAACCTCGGTATTTATCTTCAAGGACTTCATAGTTGAATTGACAGATAAGGCAAACACCCACACAAAAAGGAAATGTGTAGGAGCCATGTGTTAATGCAGAAATGACTCTTCCCATGATGCTCTGCCTGTCTTCCTTCTACTGTGATTCTCTAATCTCTGAGACTTAGCTCTCTTAGCCTCGATCCTTGGTGTGGAAACAATCATATTTATGCTGTAGGGGAATTTAAGGAGTACTTGGCTGGTAGTAGAGGGGTTCAAGGTCAGCCCATCTGTGTGGTTGGTCTAGTTTTGGCCCCTTATTCTGATAACTGTTATCTGCCTTTTGCTTTGGTACCAAGCTCTCCTTGTGTCCTGCTTATCTTTGGGCTGTCAGCCTTATATCTCATTTTCAGGTTTTCTAAAATTTAAAGCCCTCCCCAAAATTAGAGCTGGACATTTGCTGCCTGTGATAATCTGTTTGAGGCCACCTGCCTGTCTTCCCATCTGTTATCTGCCATCAGATTAGGCTGTGATAACAGCCCCATTCATAGACTGAGAGACGGTATTATTGTGATAGTAAAATATAGTTAACAGACATTTCTGAAGACAGGACTTGGGAAGGAGGAATATTTACCTATTAAATTTTTTTTACCATGTACACATGGTATTTTTAAAATAATTAAACCTTAAAAATGAAAACAGTGACAACTTAAAAAACTAAAAAAATATTTTTTCTAGTACAAAGGTATATCTGAATCCTACTTCAAACCACCTCACCCTCAAGATCTTCAAAGGAGCAATCAAAGATTGGTCAACAGAAGTAAAGCAGGCTGACCTTGATAAGCGGAGGCTTTAACGTTAATCCCCAATATAGAAATCCAGTGAGCTACACCCTGGGAGGCTGGACTCTAAGACTATCTACAACTCTGGTGTGGTTGTGTGCCAGCAGGGAACAGCAGAGTGACTATTCACATTAGTAAAGACAAGGAATCAACCTAAATGACCATCAATGGCAGAATTGATAAAGAAAATATGGTATATGGACACCACAGGATACTACGCAGCCATAAAAAGAATGAGATCATGTCCTTTGCAGAAGCATGGATGGAGTTGGAGGCCATTATCCTAAACAAACACAAGAACAGAAAATCAAACACCACATGTTCTCATTTATAAGCGGGAACTAAACATTGAGTACATATGGACACAAAGAAGGGAACAGCAGACACCAGGGCCTACTTGAGGGTGAAGGGTGGGAGGAGGGTGAGGATCAAAAAACCACCTGCAGGGTACTATGCATGTTACCTGGGTGTTGAAACAATCTGTACACAAAACCTCCGCGACACAATTTACCTATATGACAAACCTGCACAGGTCCCTCTGAATTTAAAATTTTATTTTAAGTTCTGGGATACATGTGCAGGATATGTGGGTTTGTTATATAGGTAAACATGTGCCATGTGGTTTGCTGTACCTATCAGCCCATCATTCAGGTTGTAAGCCCAGCAAGTATTAGCTATTTTTCCTGATGCTCTCCCTTCCCCCACTCTCCACCCCTGACAGGCCCCTGTGTGTGTTGTTCCCCTCCCTGTGTCCATGTGTTCTCGTTGTTCAACTCCCACTTATAAGTGAGAATATGCAGTGTTTGGTTTTCTGTTCCTGCATTAGTTTGCTAAGGATGGTGGCCTCCAGCTCCATCCATGTCCCTGTGAAGGATATGATCTCGTTCCTTTTTATGGCTGCATAGTATTTCATGGTGTATATGTACCACCTTTTCTTTATCCAGGCTATCATTGATGGGCATTTGCGTTGGTTCCATGTCTTTGCTATTGTGAACAGTGCTTCAATAAACATATGTCTGCATGTATCTTTATAACGGCATGATTTATATTCCTTTGGGTATATACCCAGAAATGGGATTTCTGGGTCAAATGGTATTTCTGGTTCTAGGTCTTTGAGAAATTTTGACACTCCTTCCACAACGGTTGAACTACTTTACGTTCCCACCAACAGTGTCAAAGCATTCCTATTTCTCCACAGCCTCGCCAGCATCTGTTGTTTCTTGATTTTTTAATAATCACCATTCTGACTGGTATGAGATGGCATCTTACTGTGGCTTTGATTTGCGTTTCTCTAAAGATCAGCTTATTATCATATGTTTGTTGGCTGCATAAATGTCTTTTTTTTTTTGAGAGGTGTCTGTTCATATCCTTTGCCCACTCTTTAATGAGGTTGTTTTTTTCTTGTGTATTTGTTTAAGTTCATTGTGGATTCTGGATATTAGACCTTTGTCAGATGGATAGATTCCAAAAACTTTCTCCTATTCTATAGGTTGTCTTTTCACTCTGATGATAGTTTCTTTTGCTGTGCAGAAGCTCTTTAGTTTAATTAGATACCATTTGTTAATTTTGGCTTTTGTTGCAATTGCTTTTGACGTTTTCATCATGAAATCTTTGTTTGTGCCTAAGTCTTGAATGGTCTTGCCTAGATTTTCTTCTAGGGCTTCCATAGTGTTGGGTTTTACATTTAAGTCTTTAATCCATTTTGAGTTAATTTTTGTATAAGATATAAGGAAGGGGTACAGTTTCAATTTTCTGCATATGGCTAGCCAGTTCTCCAGCACCATTTATTAAATGGGGAATCCTTTCCCCATTGCTTGTTGTTGTCAGGTTTCTTGAATTGTAGATGTGCAGTCTTATTTCTGAGCTCTCTATTCTGTTCCATCGGTCTGTATGTCTATTTTTGTACCAGTACCATGCTGTTTTGGTTACAGTAGCCTTGTAGTATAGTTTGAAGTTGGGTAGCCTGATACCTCCCACTTTGTTCTTTTTGCTTAGGTTTGTCTTGGCTAATAAGGGCTCTGTTTTGTTTCCATACGAGTTTTAAACTAGTTTTTTCTAATTCTGTGAAGAATATCGATGGTAATATAATGGGAATAGCACTGAATCTATAAATTACTTTGAACAGTATGGCCATTTTCACAATACTGATTCTTCCTATCCATGAGCATGGAATGTTTTTCTATTTGTTTGTGTCCTCTATGATTTCCTTGAGTAGTAGTTTGTAGCTCTCTTTGAAGAGTTCCTTTACTTCCCTTGTTAGATGTATTCCTAGGTATTTTATTCTCTTTGTAGCAATTGTTAATAGGAATTCATTTGTGATTTGGCTCTCTGCTTGTCTGTTGTTGGTGTTTATGAATGCTTGTGATTTTTGCACATTGATTTTGTATCCTGAGACTTTGTTGAAGTTGCTTATCAGCTTAAAAAGCTTTTCTTGGGCTGAGACGATGGGGTTTTCTAGATATAGGATCATGTCATCTGCAAACAGAGACAGTTTGAATTCCTCTATTCCTGTTTGAATACCCTTTATTTCTTTCTCTTGCCTGATTGCGCTTGCCAGAACTTCCAATACCATGTTGAATGGGAGTGGTGAGAAAGGGCATCCTTGTCTTGTGCTGGTTCTCAGGGGGAATGCTTCCAATTTTTGCCCATTCAGTGTGATATTGGCTGTGGGTTTGTCATAAATGGCTCATATTATTTTGAGGTATGTTCCATCAATACCTAGTTTATTGAGAGTCTTTAATATGAAGGGATGTTGAATTTTATTGAAGGCATTTTCTGCATTTATTGAGACAATCATGTGTTTTTTGTCCCTACTTCTTTTTATGTGATAAATTACATTTATTGATTTGTGTATGTTGAACCAGCCTTGCATCACAGGAATGAAGCTGACTTGATCATGATGGATAAGCTTTATGATATGCTGCTGGATTCAGTTCACCAATATTTTATTGAGGATTTTTACATAGTTGTTCACCAGGGATATTGGCCTGAAGCTTTCTTTTTTTGTTGTATCTCTGCCAGGTTTTGGTATCAGGATGATACTGGCCTCATAAAATGAGTCAGGGAGGAGTTCTTCCTTTTCAATTGTTTGAATAGTCTCGAAGAAGTGGTACCAGCTCCTCTTTGTATCTCTGGTAGAATTCAGCTATAAATCCGTCTGGTCCTGGGCTTTTTTTTTTTTTTTTGCTTGGTAGGCTATTTATTACTACCTCAATTTCAGAACTCATTATTGGTCAGATTGGCACTGCACTGATGGCTGTTGCCCCTCCTCCCCGGAGCTCAGTCATCTCAGGCAGCAGGTGGCGGCAGTGATGGCAGCCGCCCCTTCCTCCAGGATCTTGGTAGTCTTAGGCAGTCTGCAGCCAAGTGGCTACTGAGAATCTGCACAGCTCTGTTCTTGGGACCCAAGGCCCTGGTGGCATGGGCTCACGAGGGGATAACCTGATCCACAGATTGCACAGATCCATGGAAAAAGCATGGTTTCCTGGGAGGGATAGCACAATCATTCACCACCTCCCTTGGTTTGGGGAGGAGCTCCCCTTGCCCCACGTGGCTCCTGGGCTTTACCTCACTTTCCATGGGTCATGCCAACCACCTAGTCAGTCAAAATAGGAGAACCTGGATTCCTCAGCTGAAAGTGCAGAATTCATTCACTGTTTTCATTCTTCTTGGTGGGAACCTCTGATCACAGCTATTTCTAGTCTGCCATCTTGGCTTCTCCAAAATTTTTCTAAAAAGAAAGAAACAGCAGAGTGTGTAAGAGGCAAAGAATTTGCCTCAATGCCCAGGTGTAGTGTGGGGGAGGGAAAAGATTTTCATGCCTATCTTCCTAGCTGTGTGGAAACAGAGGGACAGGTTGGAGCCCTCACTTTCCCAGTCTCCTGGTAAGAAGAAATCCCAAAAGAACTATCTTCATATTTGTGTAATTTTTCAATCCTTTTAAATACTTTACCCTCTTGTACTATAATTGAGAAGTAGCCCTCCTCTTTCTTGAGAGTAGAATGTAATGCCTATATTCTAACAAATTTTTAGGAGAGGGGATGAAGTAGGAATAAGGACTTTAACTTCCTTAGTAGGGAGGAAAAACAGTTGGGCAGATAAGTTCATGAAAAAGAGAGGACAGATATTGAAGAAGGTAGAATATGAGTTGAGAGTGATTGGGTAATGTCAGGTAGATTGTGGGGAGTCTGGAAATTATGATGAAAAGATTTGACTTTTTAATTTTAATTAATTTATTCTATGCAAGACAGAGTACAGGAAAGGGAGAAATTATTGATGATAATTCCTATGTGGAATACATTTGAGAGGTGTTTTGAAGACAGGCAAGGCAAGAGGGCTTGGTGAATATATATGTAGAGCAATGGAGTGGAGGAATAAAAAATAATTCTGTCATTGAATATATGTAAAAGATGTAAAGCACCCCTGGTAATGTCCTTTTGCTGATTTTTTTGGCCAGTGGACTATCAATTTTGGCTAGGTCCAGAAATGGTTAACTTTGGGAAGCTGACTATATTACTGTGAAGTTACTTTATACTGTTAGATAATTTACTTATATTGGTTGAAAAGCACAGAGTGCTATTTCTTCTCATTCTTTCTTAATTTCTTTTCTTAACTTGTACACAGAAGCCCAGGAATACATTCCAATTCTCCCCTCAAGTTTGTCAATAAGAATATCTGCACAGAGCCATGGTCAGGCAAAGGACACTTGCATTACTGGCTGACATCTTGGTTTTAATCTGAGCAGGAGACAAAGCAAGCCAAGTAGCTTCCCTCTAAATTCATATTTATATATTGGATTGCACTTCTTTGATGGCAAAAACAAGACAAAACACAACAAATACAGACACAAAAACAAAAAAAGACAGTGCTAGGGGAAAGAGTGATGATAATGGCTCAAGAGGTAATGGGGCAGCCCTGGTCCCTCTTACTTCAGCTGCATTGGCAGGCATCCAAAAAGACAAAGTGACATTGAGAAGCAGAAACAGAATCCCAGATGAAAGACAGATCATGTCCTTAGCACTATGGCCCAACTATAATGCTCTTGTCCCTGACCAATCTATATTAGCATCACTTTTTCTTGGAAGAAAGGTTAAACAATTCACAATGTAAAATGTCTACCTTACTAAATGAAGTTTGTAACAACTAAAAAATCCTTAAACATACACATTTGTGGCCATGCATATATTCCATTAACTCTCAAAAAATTAACATGTTCACAAAACAAACAGAGAAATGAGGCAGACCAAGTAACTTATATTAAGTGACCAATCAAAACTGTTAACACAGATGTGCACACAGACATCATCAATCAAGATGTGCACACAGACATCACAGTCAATCAATAAAAAGTGAATTAATAAAAAATCAATTATTACCTCTTAGCTCAGAAACAATTATGCACATATTGACTTAACTATAGAATTATAGGCAAGTTGAATGAAAGGAGAGATCTCTGATATTCCACTGTTGCAGTTAGATGTGCTTTGTTAATGTATTAAAACACCACACTCTTAAACAACAGATTAGCTTCATATGTGTATGAAACTACACTTGGCAAATCACTTGGGAAGTTGATTCAAGAATGCCATTCTTCACTTTTGTGGGCTTACTCTGACCTGAACCTCACACATTTACCTAATCTAAAGTAGTTGCTCTGAAAGGTTCAGACAAAAATCAGGCAGAAGTCTCAATTTTCTTCATTTTTTTAGTGAAAAATTTATTTATTGACAAATAAATTTTGCCTATATTTTTCATGTAAATTGTGTTTGGAAAACTAAATATCCACATGCAGAAGAATGAAATTAGAACCTTATCTCACACTGAATACAAAAATCAACTCAAAATAGATTAAAGACTTAAATGTAAGACCTGAAAATACAAAACTAATAGAAGAAAACATAGTGGAAAGACCCCATGACGTTGGTATGGACAATGACTTTATGTTTATGACCTCCAAAAACACAGACAACAAAAGCAGAAATAGACAAATGAGATTACCTGAAACTAAGTATCTTTTGTACAGCAAAGGAAGCAATCGACAGAATGAAGAGACACTATACAGAATGGGAGGAAATATTTATAAACTGTACATCTGGTAAGGGGTTAATGTACTAAATATATAAGGAGCTCACAAACAACTCAATAGCAAGAACACAAGTAACCTGATTTAAAAAATAGGCAAGGCCGGGTGCGGTGTCTCACGCCTGTGATCCCAGCACTTTGGGAGGCTGAGGCGGGTGGATCACAAGGTCAGGAGTTGAAGATCAGCCTGGCCAATATGGTGAAACCCCGTCTCTACTAAAAATATAAAAATTAGCCAGGTGTGGTGGCGGGCGCCAGTAGTCCCAGCTACTCAGGAGGCTGAGGCAGGAGAATCGCTTGAACTTGGGAGGCAGAGGTTGCAGTGAGCCGAGAGCATGCCACTGCACTCCAGCCTGGGAGACAGAGTGAGACTACATCTCAAAAAACAAACAAACAAAAAAGGGCAAAGGACCTGAAAAGATATTTTTCAGATGAAGACATGCAAATGGGCAACTGGTAAGTGAGAAAATGTTCAATGTCACAGAGAAATACAACTTTAAGCTGCAAGGAGATGTCACCTCACACCTGTTAAAATGACTATTATCAAAAAGATTTAAAAAATAAGTGCTGGTGAAGATGTGGAGAAAAGAAAGCACTTGTACACTGCTGGTGGGAATGTAAATTAGTGCAGCCATTAAGGAAACTATGGACGTTCCTCAAAAAATTAAAAATAGAACTACCATATGATTTAGCAATCCCACTTCTGGGTATAATTCCAAAGGAAACGAAATCAGTAAGTTGAAGACATATCTGCACTCTCATGTTTATTGCAGCACTATTTACAATAGCCAAGATATGGAATCATCAACCTAAGTGTTCATCAATGGAAGAATGAATAAAGTGTGGTGTATATACACATGGAATACTATTCAGCTGTAAAAAAATAAGGATATCCTGCCTTTTGTTACAACATGGGTGAACATGGAGGACATGATGCAAAGTGAAATAAGCCAACCAGAGAAAGACTAACAGTGAATAGTCTCACTCATATATGGAATTAAAAGAGTTGCTCTCATAGAAGTACAGAGTAGAATGACGGTTACCAAAGGCTTTTGTGGTTGGGAGATAAAAGTGTTGGAGATATCGGTCAAAGGATACAAAATTTTATTTACACAGGAAGAATAAATTCAAGGTATCTGTTAGAAAACATGGTGACTGATACGGTTTAGCTCTGTGTCCCCACACAAATCTCATTTTGTAGCTCCCATAATTCCCACATGTTGTGGGAGTGACCTGGTGGGAGATGATTGAATCATGGGGTTGGGTCTTTCCTGTGCTGTTCTCATGATAGTGAACAGGCCTCATGAGATCTGATGGTTTTAAAAATGGGAGTTTCCCTGCATAAGCTCTCTCTTTGCCTGCTGCCATCCATGTAAGATGTGACTTGCTCCTCCTTGCCTTCCACCACCATTGCTAGGCCTCCTCAGCCATGTGGAGCTGTAAGTCCAATAAACCTCTCTCTTTTGTAAATTGCCCAGTCTCAGGTATGTCTTTATCAGCAGCATGAAAAAGAACTAATTCAGTGGCTATTGTTAATAATACATTGTATTCTTGAAAAATGCTAAGAGAGTAACTGTATTGTGTTCTCATCATGAAAATGATGAACTCTCTGAGGTAATCCATATGTTAATTAGCTGAATTTAGTCATTCCACAATGTAAATATATTTCAAAACATATTGTACACAAAAAATACATACAACTTTATCTGTCTATTTTAAAAAAATAAATGAGTAAGCTTTTTGCCCCTTTCTTTGCTCATATATTGTTTTGCTTGATGGTGTCCTATAAATCTTGTAGGCTTTCCTCTCTCTTCTTTCATTCTTTTTGCCTCAATCTGGGCAATTTCAAATGCCAAGTCTTCAAGTTCACTGATTCTTTCTTTTGTCTGACCGAGCCTGCTGTTGAAACTCTCCATGGAATGTGTCAGTTTAGTCACTGTGTTCTTCAGCTTCAGAATTTCTGTTTTGTTCTTTTTATGGCTTCTATCTCTGATGAACTTATTTCATGTATTGTTCATGTATTGTTTTCCTGATTTCATTTAGCTTTGAACTGTTTTCTTGCAGCCTTCTGAGCTTCTTTACAATTATTTTGAGTTTTGAGTTTTTTGTTAGGCAGTTCACAGATCTACATTTCTTTAGGGCCAGCTACTGATGCTTTAATTTATTCCCTTGGTGGCATCATGTTTCCCTGATTACTCATGATCCTTTTGGCCATATGTTGGTGACTGCATATTTGAACAAGTAGAGACCTATTTCAATCTTTGTAGACTGGCTTTGGCAGGTAAAGCCCTTCACTAGTCATCTTATCCAGAGGTTCTGGGAAAGACTGTCTGGCAGAGTCTATGGGTTGGGTCCATGGGCAGCAGGTTTATGCTGCTAGGGTTTTGGGCAGGCTAATCTGATACAGATCAGCTGATCCAGGTGGATGGACCTGGAGCTTGGGTCCACAGGAGCTGGCCTGGTGCCTGGGTCTGTGGGGTCAGGCCTGGAGCTTGTCTACTGGGGTGTGCTTGGAGCCTTTTACTAGGGCAGGTCTGGCTCCTGGGTCCATAGCAGCTAACCTGGTTCTGGGGTCCACTGGGGTAGTCATGTCCCCTGGGCCCATGGGGTGGGCCTGAAGCTTGTGTCCACAGGAGCTGTCTGAAGCCTGGATCCCTGAAGATATGGAGGCTGACATGGCACAGGGGTGGTTCTTGAACCCTGAGTCCATGGGGGCTGGCCTGGTGGTGGGGTGAGCTTGGAAGGTCTCAATTTCCTAACTCTTTTTTCTAATTCCCTTTGCTTCAATTTGTTAATTAAAGTAATAACTATAATAATAGTGAGTGTTTTACTAAATGTTAGACACAGTGATGGGCCTTTAAAAACATTGTCTTGTTTAATCATTATAATAAGTTCATAAAGTAGGCATTATCCAATTTTATGGATATGAAAATCATATCTCACAAAAGTTAGATAATCTGACTTAGGTTACCCATTCACCAGGTGGCAGAGGTAAAATTCAAATTTATCTCTGATTGACTTTTATTTGTCTGAAACTCTGAGGATATTTTTTGATGCAGACACTTAGGTTTTCTTAGACTAAGTTTATATGTGACTATGAATTAACTATAGTTAGAGGGTTTGAGATTTGATTTTGGGAAGTCATTAACTATAGTTAGAGGGTTTGAGATTTGATTTTGAGAAGTCATTAACTATAGTTAGAGGGTTTGAGGTTTGATTTTGGGAAGTCATTTTCTTTAATTAATTGTTTTAGTATTGGTTTCATTGTTAAAAGGATGCATAAACTATTTGACACAATTTTCCAGGATGATTTTTGACAGAAATTTAGTCTACCTCCATACTGACTGAATTGGGCATTTTTGACAGCTTCCAATGGTCACATCAGATATTGAGAGCATTAATATAGAGAAGACAACAGGAAGGAAAGAATCACTGGCTTTATATGAAAGGAAATGTACACATGCATATTCCTTGAAAAAGATTAACATTCCATGCTACATTTGCCACCAGAGGGAGTCATATGAATACCATAACATATTGTCAAAGGAAAAGAATAATTATTAACTATTTTCTTCCAGTTTCATTGATATTTTAAGTAGCATTCAGAATCTGGTAGAACTGGTGCGACTATGGGAAAGAACTTAAACATCTCCTTTAATTAATTAATTGATTACATTGATCGTAGTGTTGGGTGAAAAACAGAAGAAACATGTTGCTTAAATTAGTAACACAGGGTGAAAGAAACAACCTAATATACACATTCCAGATTTTGGCAAATGAGCTTAATGTTATGATGAAACTAAAAAATCAAGCTGTGATTTCATTTGTTTTAAAAATAACAATCTACTATTATCAAAACATTGCTTTAAAAATCCTGGAATCAACAAGTTCATTCATGTTTCATTAAGCATATTTTATTTTACTGTTATATTGCCTGTATCAGGATGACTGAAATTGTTATTGTCAGTAAATAAAATAAAATAACAAAGGCTATTTTATGCACCTGTGCTCTCTGAAACCCAGGCCAAGATTTTCTCAATTGGCATACTAGGGGAAAATGTGAATTATTTAGTAGCTGGTAGGTTTGTACTCCAGTTTGCTTTATACCTAGTTTTAGAACTGATTAGTTAATAGCATTTACAGAAAACTTCTATATACATAGCACTAAATTGTCCATTAAAATCGAGATTCAGTAACAGTTAGAAAATGAGTTCTGAAGTGATATTTATGCTTTTATATAGTGGTTTTCAAAATGTGATCACTGGATCAGACCCACCATGATTACCTGGGAACTTATTCAAAATACGAATTCGTGAGTCTCAGTCCAGACCTACTAATTCAGAAAGATCAGAGGTGGAGCCCAGCAGTCTGTGTTTTGACAAGTGATTCTAATTCACACTTTAAGTTTGAGAACCACTGATAATCTCTTGAAAGTAAGTCCAGCAACTTAAGAGAGTTGGAACATGTACTTTCTATATTTTATTACAGCAGTTATTTTCTTATGGGTAAATTTTTTAAAATGTATTATTTAATTTAAAAATTTAAATGAATGATCATGGAAAAGAATGCTTAAAAAGAATAACTTTTTGTAATATCGAATAGACATACAATAATTGAATTTATAAATAATAAACACATGTGTTTGAGAGGCAAGAGTAAACAATATTTACTTATTGTTAAATGAGAGAATTTGTTTTTTCCCCCTCTCGACAAGTATTGCTGCATCCAGAGATAACAATTTACTGATTTTTACATTTACAATTTTGAGATTATATAATTGTTTAAGAACTTTAAAAGAAGATGCTTTAAAAAAGCAAACTTTACAAGGTTAAAGTGAGATTTGCCTAGGAAACTAGAAACAAGGTTAGTATTATGAGATGACTTGATACTTTATGTGCTTTTGTATTGTCTGAATTTTTACAAGATGTATTCATTACAGTGGAAAGTATACTTCTATTAAATAAAGTGTTTTAAAATTATATTTTAAAGTCTAGTTGCAAGCAAGTAACTTGAATGTGACATAAAATAAACCTGCTTTTTTTTAACTTTGGCTGGCCCAATAAGTACTGAATTGCTGATATGATTATTTTGTAACATGTAGGTTATTTCAGATACAGCTAGTCAAGTACAGTGCAATCAAATTATGAGTAGATGGCCCAGTCGATTTTTTGATTGACCTACATGCATGCCATTGATTTCACTGATTATTTAGAATGACCGTAGACATTGATGGATAATTTTGTTACAGTATATTAGGTATAAGATACAAAATAGTAAGCACCCACAGAAAATATAACTGTAAACATTTAGTTGAAGCCCTTCCAATTAGATTGCCACATCAAACTAAAAACACCAATTATTTGCGTTTCCTTAGATACAAAGAATAATGTCAAGATATTCCTTCCCCTGTTTGCAAAAAAAAGTAAGGTTACATACACATTTGTTGAGGATGGGATTGAGAGGTGACAGCGTGCTGGCAGTCCTCACAGCCCTCGCTCGTTCTCGGCGCCTCCTCTGCCTGGGCTCCCACTTTGGCGGCACTTGAGGAGCCCTTCAGCCCACCGCTGCACTGTGGGAGCCCCTTTCTGAGCTGGCCAAGGCCGGAGCCGGCTCCCTCAGCTTGCAGGGACGTGTGGAGGGAGAGGCGCCAGCGGGAACCAGGGCTGCACGCGCGGCGTTTGCGGGCCAGCTGGAGTTCCGGGTGGGCGTGGGCTTGGCGGGCTCCGCACTCGGAGCAGCCGGCAGGCCCTATCGGCCCCGGGCAATGAGGGGCTTAGCACCCGGGCCAGCGGCTGCAGAGGGTGTACTGGGTCCCCCAGCAGTGCCAGCCCACCAGGGCTGCACTCGATTTCTCTCTGGACCTTAGCTGCCTTCCCGTGGGGCAGGGCTCGGGACCTGCAGCCCCCCATGCCTGAGCCTCCCACCCACTCCGTGGGCTCCTGTGCGGCCGGAGCCTCCCGGATGAGCGCCACCCCCTGCTCCATGGCGCCCAGTCCCATCGACCACCCAAGGGCTGAGGAGTGCGGGGGCACGGTGGCGCGGGACTGGCAGGCAGCTCCACCTGCAGCCCCGGTGCGGGATCCACTGGGTGAAGCCAGCTGGGCTCCTGAGTCTGGTGGTGACCTGGAGAACCTTTATGTCTAGCTCAGGGATTGTAAATACACCAATTGGCACTCTGTATCTAGCTCAAGGTTTGTAAACACACCAATCAGCACCCTGTGTCTAGCTCAGGGTTTGTGACTGCACCAATCAACATTCTGTATCTAGGTACTCTGGTGGGGCCTTGGAGAACCTTTATGTCTAGCTCAGGGATTGTAGATACACCAATAGGCACTCTGTATCTAGCTCAAGGTTTGTAAACACACCAATCAGCACCCTGTGTCTAGCTCAGGGTTTGTGAATGCACCAATGGACACTCTGTATCTAGCTACTCTGGTGGGGACTTAGAGAACCTTTGTGTCAACACTCTGTATCTAGCCAATCTAGTGGGGAAGGTGGAGAACCTTTGTGTCCAGTTCAGGGATTGTAAATGCACCAATCAGTGCCCTGTCAAAACAGACCACTCGGCTCTACCAATCAGCAGGATGTGGGTGGGGCCAGATAAGAGAATAAAAGCAGGCTGCCCGAGCCAGCAGTGGCAACCTGCTGGGGTCCCCTTCCACACTGTGGAAGGTTTGTTCTTTTGCTCTTTGCAGTAAATCTTGCTACTGCTCACTCTTTGGGTCCACACTGCTTTTATGAGCTGTAACACTCACTGCGAAGGTCTGCAGCTTCACTCCTGAGCCAGCGAGACCACGAACCCACCAAAAGGAAGAAACTCCGAACACATCCGAACATCAGAAAGAACAAACTCCAGACACGCCGCCTTTAAGAACTGTAACACTCACCGCGAGGGTCCACAGCTTCATTCTTGAAGTCAGTGAGACCAAGAACCCAGCAATTCCGGACACAGGATGAGTGGGTGAATGCCTGAACTTACCTGATCCTTCTGTAGGAAGCAATGACAACTTTTGGTTTTTATTCTTGGTTTTTTTTTTTTTTTTTTTGAGATGGAGTCTCGCTCTTGTCACCCAGGCTGGAGTGCAGTGGTGTAATCCCGGCTCACCGTAACCTCCACCTCCCAGGTTCAAGCAATTCTCCTGCCTCAGCCTCTTGAGTAACTGGGACTACAGGTGTGCACCACTATGCCCGGCTAATTTTGTAGATGTTGGCCAGGCTGGCCTTGAACTCCTGACCTCAGGTGATCCGCCCACCTCGGCCTCCCAAAGTGCTGGGATTACAGGCGTGAGCCACTGCGCCCAGCTATTCCTGTTCTTAAAATGGCCAAATTCACATAAGAGAAAACAAAGTATTGGGCTGGCAATTATCCATCTATAGTCAAACTTCTGAAATCTTAGTAGGTGAGTAATGAGGTCACAATAAACAATAAACTTTCTACAATTAAACTTCTCTGGGCTCAAAATTAGAAGCTCCTGATTAGTCTTTTAAGAGTATGCTCATGATTGTGTGTGGTCACCAGTTGGAGGTTATGTGAAGCACATGTTGTTAGGGCAACATAGTTCCCAGTGAAAAGCCCTGGACTTGCTCTGTAGAATTTAACCTAAACACTTTTCTGGGTGTGTTAACTTTAAGGAAGCTTAAAAATAACACACAGATTGTAAACTCCGAGTTTCATACAATGATGTTCCAAAAAAAGAATGTGCAGGAAAGTTTAGTAAATGATTATACACATGTAAATTATCATTATTCATATGAGCTCTGATTGTTTTCTATGAGTTTCAAAAACATTGCATTTATATTGATTCCTTTTTTTACTTTTGTTTTAGGTTCAGTACATGTGCAAGTTTGTTAGATAGGTAAATTGCATGCCATGGAGGTTTGGTGTACAGATTGTTTCATCACCCGGTTAATAAGCATAGTAGTACCCAATAGGTAGTTTTTTGATCCTCACCCTCCTCACAGCCTCTACCCTCAAGTAGGCCTTAATGTCTGTTGTTCCCTTCTTTATGTCTATATGTACTCAATATTTAGCTCCCACTTATAAATGAGAACACACAGTATTTGGTTTTCTGTTCCTGTGTTAGTTCATTTAGGATAATAGCCTTCACCTCCATCCTTGTTTCTGCAAAGGACATGATCTCATTTTTTTTTAAAGCTGCATAGTATTCCATGGTGTATATAAAATATACACCACATTTTCTTTATCAGTTCTACCATTGATAAGCATTTAGGTTGATTCCATGTCTTTGCTATTGTGAGTAGTGCGGCAGTGAACATCTGTGTGCATGTTTCTTTATGGTATAACAATTTATATTTCTTTGGGTATATATCCCATAATGGAATTGCTGGGTCAAATAATAATTATGTTTTAAGTTCTTTGAGAAATTACCACACTGCTTTTCACATGGCGGAATGTATTTACATTCCCACCTGCAGTGTGTAAGCATTCCCTTTTCTCCACAACCTCACCAGTATGTTATTTTTTTACTTTTTAGTAATAGCCATTCTGACTGGTGTGAGATGTATCTTATTGTGGTTTTGATTTGCATTTCTCTAATGATCAGTGATGTTGAACATTTTTTCATATGCTTGTTGGCTATATGTATGTCTTCTTTTGCAAAGTGTCTGTTCATGTCTTTTGCCCTCCTTTTAATAGGATTGTTTGTGTTTGGTTGTTAATTTGTTTAGGTTCCTTGTAGATGCTGGATATTAGACCTGTATCAAATGCATAGTTTGCAAATATTTTCTCTCATTCTTTAGATTGTCTGTTTACTCAGTTGATAGTTTCTTTTGCTGTGCAGAAGATCTTTAGTTTAATTAGCTCCCATTTGTTAATTTGTGTTTTTGTTGCAATTGCTTTTGGCATCTTCATCATGAAATCTTTGCCAGTCCTATGTCAAGAAAGGTATTTTCTAGGTTAACTTCTAGAGTTTTTACAGTTTTAGGTTTTACATTTAAGTCTTTTATCCATCTTGAGTTGATTTTTGTATGTGGTGTAAGGAAGGGGTCCAGTTGCAATCTTCTACATGTGGCTAGCCAGTTATCTCAGCACTATTTATTGAATAGGGAGCCCTTTCCCCATTGCTTGTTTTTGTCAACTTTGTTGAAGATCAGATGGTTGTAGGTGTGCAGCATTATTTCTGGGCTTTCTTTTCTGTTCCATTGGTCTATATGTCTGTTTTGTACCAATGCCATGCTGTTTTGGTCACTGTAGCCTTGCAGCAGAGTTTGAAGTCAGATAATGTGATGACTTCTTAAAGCACCCAACAAAAAGAGTTACAAAACTTCCTGTGAGTTACCTAAAGGAAGCAATATACCCTGGTGATGAAGAACCTGGGTTTTTAAGTCAGGTTTGATTTAGCATCTCTATCATGTATAAAATGTGTGGCATTGAATAAGTATAGTTTCATTTGTCCTCTGCTCCCATTGTTTTATTCATAAAATGGAAATGACAATAGCTAATTCTTTTTATTTACTTTTACCTTTTAAAATGTGTGTGGGTATATTGTAGGTGTATATATTTATGGGGTACATGAGATGTTTTGATACAGGCATGCAATGTGAAATAAGCACATATGGAGAATGGGATATCCATCCCCTCAAGCATTTATCCTTTGAGTTACAAACAATCCTATTACACTCTTTAAGTTACTTAAAAATATACAATTAAGTTGTTATTGTCTATAGTTACCCTATTGTGCTGTCAAATGGTAGGTCTTATTCATTCTTTCTAATTTTTTGGTACCTGTTAACCATCTCCACCTGCCCCCCACCCAACCCTCTACTACCCTTTTCAGCCTCTGGTAACCATCCTTCTGCTCTCTATGTCTATGAGTTCAATTGATTTGATTTTTAGATCCCATAAATAAGTGAGAACATGTAATGTTTGTCTTTCTGTGCCTGGCTTATTTCACTTAACATAATGATCTTCAGTTTCATCCATGTTGTTGCAAATGACTGGATCTCATTCTTTTTTATGGCTGAATAGTACTCCATTTTGTATAATACCACATTTTCTTTATCCATTCGTCTGTTGATGGACAGTTAGGTTGCTTCCAAATATTAGCCATTGTAAACAGTGTGGCAACAAACATAGCAGTGCAGATAATCTCTTTGATATACTGATTTTCTTTCTTTTTGGTATATACTCAGCAGTGGAATTCCTGGATCATATGGTAGCTCAATTTTTAGTTTTTTGAGGAACCCCCAAACTAACTATTCTCCATAGTGGTTATACTCATTTACATTCTCACTGGTAGCATACAAGGGTTCCCTTTGTCCACATCCTCAGCAGCATTTGTTATTTTCTGTCTTTTGGATATAAGCCATTTTAGTTGGGGTGAGATTATATTTCATTGTAATTTTGATTTGTGTTTCTCTGATGATCAATGATGTTGAGCACCTTTTTATATGTCTGTTTGCCATTTGTATGTCTTCTTTTGAGAGGTGTGTTTTCAAATCTTTTGTCCATCTTTGATCAGATTATTAGATTTTTTTCCTAAAGAGTTGTTTGAGCTCCTTATACATTCTGGTTATTAATCCCTTGTCAGAGGGGTAGTTTGCATATATTTTCTCCCATACTGTGGGTTGTCTCTCCACTTTTTTTGATTGTATCCTTTGCTGTGTGGAAGCTTTTTAACTTGATGTGATCCCATTTGTCCATTTTTGTTTTGGTTGCCTGTGCTTGTGGGGTATTACTCAATATTCTTTGCCCAGACCAATGTCCTGGAGATTTTCCTCAAAGTTTTCTTGTATTAGTTTCATAGTTTGAGGTCTTAGACTTAAGTCTTTAATCCATTTCTATTTTAATTTTGTATATGGAGAAATATAGGGGTGTAGTTTCATTCATTTGCATATAGCTATCCAGTTTTCCCAGCACCATTTATTGAACAGACTGTCTTTTCTTCAGTGTATGTTCTTGGCACTTTTGTCACAAATGAATTCACTGTAGGTGTGTGGATTTGTTTCTGGGTTCTCTATTCTGTTCCATTGGTCTATGTGTCTATTTCTATGCCAGTACCATGCTGTTTTGGTTACTACAGCTCTGTAGTATAATTTGAAGTCAGGTAATGTGATTTCTCTAGTTTTGTTCTTTTTTCTTAGACTAACTTTGGCTATTCTGGGTCTTTTGTGGTTCCATATACATTTTAGGATTGTTTTCTCTATTTTTGTGAAGAATGTCATTGGCATTTCGATAGGAATTGCATTGAATCTGTAGATTGTTTTGGTAGTATAGACATTTTAACAATATTGATTCTTCCAATTCATGAACATGAAATATTTTTCCATTTTTTGGTGTTCTCTTTAATTTTCTTTATTGGTGTTTTATAGTTTTCACTGTAGAGGTCCTTCACTTCTTTGGTTAAGTTCATTCCTAGGTATGTCATTTTATGTGTGGTTATTGTAAAGGGGATTACTTAAAAAATTTCTTTTTCACATTTTTTACTGTTGGCATATACAAATGCTACTGATTTTTGATGTTGATTTTTTTTATCCTGACACTACTGAATTTTTTAGTTCTAATAATTTTTTTATGGAATGTTTAGTTTTTTCCAAATATAAGATCATATCTTCAGCAAACAAGGATAATTTGAATTCTTCTTTTCCAATTGTGATGCCTTTTATATAGTTCTCTTGTCTGATTGCTCTAGTTAGGACTTTCAGTACTATGTTGAATAACAGTTGTGACAGTGGGCATTCTTGTTGTGTTTAAGATCTTAGAGGAAAAGCTTTCAGTTTTCCCTGTTCAGTTTGTTACTAGCTGTGGTCTGTGATATATGGCTTTTATTATGTTGAGGTATATTCCTACTATGCCCAGTTTTTAAAGGGTTTTTATCATGAAGGGATGTTGAATTTTATCAAATATTTTTTCAGCCAACTGAATTGATCACATGGTTTTGGTCCTTCATTCTGTTGCTCTGAGGTATCATGTTGATTGATTTGCATATATTGAGCCATTCTTGCATCCCAGAGATAAATTCTGCTTGGTCATGACGAATGATGCTTCTAATGCATTTTTTGAATTCTGTTTGCTAGTATTTTCTTGAGGATTTTTGCATTAATATTCTTCTGAAATATTGGACTGTAGTTTTCTTTTTTGACGTGTCTTTGATTTTGGTATCAGGGTAATACTGGCCTTATAGAATGAGTTGGTAAGTATTCCCTCCTCCTCTGCTTTTTGAAAGAGCTTAAGTAGAATTCATTATTAGTTCTTCTGTAAATATTTGATAGAATTCAGTGGTGAAGCCATCAGGTCCTGAGATTTTCTTTACTGGAAGGCTTTTTATCACAGTTTCAATCTCATTACTTGTTTTTGGTCTGTTCAGGTTTTGAATTTCTTCTGGTTCAATCTTGGTAGGTTGTATGTATCTAAGAATTTGTCCATTTCTTCTAGATTTTCCAATCTATTGGCATATAATTACTCATAGTAGCCACTAATGTTCCTTTAATTTCTGTACTATCAGTTATACCATCTCCTTTTTGATTTTATTTGTTTAGATCTTCTCTCTCTCTTTTTTTTCTTAGTTTGGCTAATTAATGGCTTGTCAATTTTGTTTAACTTTTCAAAAATCAGCTTTTTGTTTCATTGATCTTTTGTAGTGTTTTTTTATTTTAATTTCATTTATTTTTTGCTCCTATCTTTTTAATTTCTTTTATTCTACTAATTTTAGGGTTGATTTACTCTTGCTTTTCTAGTTTTAAAGATGCATAGATTGTTTATTTAAAGTTTTTCCTCTTTTTCGTGTTTATTTAAAGTTTTTCCCTTTTTGATATAGGTACTTATAAAGTACCTATAAAGTTATAAACTTCTCTCTGAGTACTGCTTTTGCTGTATTCCTTTTTTTTTATGAGACAGAGTATTGCTCTGTTGCCCAGGCCAGAGTGCAGAGGCAGTTTCGACTCGCTGCAAGCTCTGCCTCCCGGGTTCACACCATTCTCCTGCCTCAGTCTCCTAAGTAGCTGGGACTACAGGCGCCCGCCACCACGCCCAGCTAATTTTTTTTGTATTTTTAGTAGAGACGGGGTTTCACTGTGTTAGCCAGGATGGTCTCAATTTCCTGACCTCATGACCTGCCTGCCTCAGCCTCCCAAAGTGTTGGGATTACAGGCGTGAGCCACTGTACCTGGCCGCTTTTGCTGTATCCTATAGGTTTTGGTATGTTGTGCATCTGTTATCATTTGTTTCAATAAAATTTTCAGTTTCCTTCTAAATTTCTTAATTGACTGATCATTCAAAAGCATATTGTTTAGTTTCCATGTGCTTGTATAGTTTCCAAAATTCCTTCTGTATTGGATTTCTAGTTTCATTCTGTTGTGGTCTGATAAGGTGCTTGATATTATTTCAATTTTTCTGAGTGCTTTAAGATTTGTTTTGTGTCTTAACATATGGTCTATCCTTGAGAATCATCTATGTGCTGAGGAAAAGAATGTGTATTCTGCAGCTCTTAGATGAAATGTCTGTAAATACCTATTAGATCCATTTGGTCTATAATGCAGACTAAGTCTGATGTTTCTTTGTTGATTTTCTGGATAGAAGATCTGCCAATGCTGAAATTGGGGTGAAATCTCCAGTTATTATTTTATGGGGGCCTATCTCTCTCTTTAGCTTTAAAAATTTTTGCTTTATATATTGGGGTGCTCCCATGTTGGGTGCATATATATTTAAAATTGTTATATCCTCTTGATGAATTGACTCCTTTATTAGTATATAATGACCTTCCTTGTCTCTTCTTATAGTTTTTGTCTTGAAATCTATTTTGTTTGATGTAAGTACAGTGACTCCTGCTCTTTTTTGGTTTCCATTGTCATGGAATATCTTTTTCCATCCTGTTATTTTCAGTCTATGTGTGTCTTTATAGGCAACAGATCAGTGGGTCTTATTTTTTCATTTGTTCAGCCAGTCTATGTCTTCTGATTGAAGGGTTTAGTTTATTTATATTCATTGTTATTATTAATAAGTAAGAAATTACTCCTGCCATTTTGTTATATGTTTTCTGGTTGTTTTGTGATCTTCTCTTCCTTCTTTCTTTCATTTCTGTCTTCCTCTAGTGAAGATGATTTTCTCTGGTGAGGTAATTCATTTTATTGATTTTTATTTTTTGTGAATAGTTAATTCTTTGCATGAGGATTATATGTGACAATTCAGGAAAAATACAGTTATTTCTAAATTAAATGTGTGGTGATTCTTTTGTTATTTTCCTAAATGAAAAGAAATAGATGAGGTTAAGTTGATGACTTGTGAATACATAATTATGCCTGGGAGTATGCCTCTTGAAACTTCAGTGCAAAGGATTTTTATTACTCATTCATCTTATTTAATACTATTATTTAGTAGTAAGTGTGTTCATATCCTGTGACAAGAGAACTATCTCAAATGAAGACATTATTATTATATTGACTGCAATTATGCAGCCTTTGAAAAATCCCCAAAACACTATCATATTTTTCATTATAATCTTTAATTTGTAAAATATGTGAATCAATAAGAGAAAGATCAGAAAATGGAATGGGCATCTAGTTTTGCTTCTATTTCTATACTGATAACATTTTGGCACATTGTTTACATTTTTATAAAGATGTTTTTGTAGCTGCTAAACTATGTTGAAGTTAATATTGACATAAGCCTTATTTTGTCTTTGAAACTAAGAAATATAAGGACAATATACATATAGTTGTTAAAACCATAGGTTACTAAGCAATCACTAAGCTATCATGATAGTGATTAAAGGGCTGCAGGTGTCAGGGAACCAACAACTCACTTAGAAAAAGAAGAATGTTAAGTAGCTTGTGAGCACCACTGTGATGTGGCCTTTTTCCTCTCTTAACAAGAAAAGAGAGCAAGAAGCTGAGAAAAGAGAGATTATCCTTTTGTATAACTTAAAAAGCAGAGGACTTTTAATTCCTAAAAAGATATCTTTCAATATAAGAAAATCTTTGCAAAATAGGAAGGGTAAATTATTATAATATCTTCTTAATTCTGTATTTCATTATTTTAAGTAGCATTTATCTCTCCATAAGATCCTATTTTTTTCTGTGCTGAGAAAATCAGCTCAGATTCAAATAGCATAAAAAGATAACTATTCAAGGGAAAATACAGCATTCTTTAAGAGGATTTCTTTTGAGAAGATAATGTTATAAGGTGGAGGTGAAGCTAATGTGTTAAACATTTTTTCTGTAAACATATTTTATTTCACAATATTTGAAAAAGTTTATCCTAAGGTTTGGTATTACTCTTATTTCTAATTTTGGTTTTCACTGCACTTTTGCTTGATTAGGAGAATAAGTGAATATAATGAGGTAGATGTTACTGATTTATGAAACCCCTGGTATCAAAAGCTGGGGTTACTTACTGCCTCACTGTCCCCAAGATTCATGTGCACTGAATTAGGATGCTTATAATGGTGAGTCACTGAATTTGCTGGCTTTCTGCTGTGTCTGTAGGCACGCATTTTCAAGAGCAACAGTCAGACTGTGTTCAGTCAAGGATCACAGATTAGAGGGACCTGACATGACTCCTAACCTTCTTGGAATCCCACTGTAATCAGCAAGGTAACTTGCTCATTTCTGTCTTTTTTTTTTTTTTTTGCCACTTATCTACCCATCTACCCAACATTTATTAAATCCTTAACATCTGTTATCTTCCCATTAAAAAAAAATTTTTTTTTGAGACAGAGTCTTGCTCTGTCGACCAGGCTGGAGTGCAATGGTGTGATCTCGGCTCACTGCAACCTCCGTCTCCTGGGCTCAAGTGATTTTCCTGCCTCAGCCTCTTGGGTAGCTGGGACTATAGGCATGCACCATCATGCCTGGCTAATTGTTTTGTATTTTTTTAGTAGAGACGGGATTTCACCATGTTGGTCAGGCTGGTCTCGAACCCCTGGCCTCAAATTATCCCACCTGACTTGGCCTGCCAATGTGTTGGGATTACAGACATGAGCCACTATGCCCAACCAAAAAATAATTTTTTAAAAATATAATTTCTCAGTGATGAATTTGAGTTGTTTTAGTGCACTCTGCTGTTTCTTTGTTGATGCAAACCATGGGTTCTACTTCCAACACTGCTACATTTTACCTGAGACAGTGACTTTTCTTTCTCTTACTGTTTCAAAAAAATTTTCACCAGATCTAGTTTTTGTTGTTGCCTAGAAGAAATTAGTGGAGTTTTGCAAGTATATTCTGGCCAATGGAATTATAATTATTACCTCACGTTTGAAAAAAATTTTGCATATATATACATAATATACTCTTCTTCTTATATACCTATTGCATCATGGCTACTCCTACTTGTGACCTTGTGCCCATATGTCTATATGGACAAACATAAACAATAATATAAATTTACTGAATGATAGATTTTATGATATAGTCCGGGAGGATATTTTCTTTTTCCTAGCCTAGTTCTAAAAGATGGTGAATGAGACTGTCTTAAAAATAGTTCCTAAAATGTTTCAAATTTTTATAATGCCATCTTGTCAATTCCTCTTTAAAGAAATTTGAAATTAACATTAATTACAATCAGCAAATGTTTAATAACAAGATCTCTGGGGGAAAAAAGGCTTGATAAGTAGTGTTTGCTGACTTCCATGGTGTAAATACTTCTGTCAAGCACGGTTTCAACTGCCAACCTGAAATTATTGAATGCTGAGTGGGAAGAGATGAACACAATTCGTTCAACTCAGACTAGTATGAGCCAGCTCCAGCCCACCACTGATTACAATTCCATTTATAGTAACAGTCATTTGACCTAATAAAAGCTGAAATTATAAAATTGTTTAAGTGAATAAGACTTTTAAAAAGTCTTATTAGATTTTACAATACACTAAATTACTTTAATATCTTTTTCTTTTCTTTTTTTTTTTTTGAGAGGAGTGGCCCAAGAGAATGATCTGAGTACTTATAAATAGATACTCATTGTAGGAAAGTATATATTAGAACAAGTCCCAGATATTGAAAATAGTGCCAGGTAGTCAGAGACATAAATTATCCCAAATTCCTTTTTCATCTGGACAGCAATCCTTCCTGGTTAACACTGAGTGTTTATTGCTACTAATTCTAATACTTGCTATCTATAAGAGAGATGAGTAGAAAGCATCCTTCTACAGTGAATTTATGATTTTAAAACATATAGCTTTTTTGTTTATAGAAAAGGTAGTCTAGAATAGTACTCCTCAAACTATATTTTACAAACTGCTGTGGGTCTAATAATTGTTTATAACTGTTCTGTGATGAGACGTTTAAAAATTGAAGCAAGTATTTAGAAGCTTTCATAGCAATTTGACATTTTTATGATATCTGTGTTCATAATTAGTAAACTCATATGATAAGTCTATATACTGTGGCCTGTGCTCACTGAACAAAGAATAGACTAGTTTGGATTTTACAATACTTTTACGGGATAAGTTGTTAAGAATTGGCTATGTTGAAGGATTGAAGATGAAAATGTATCATTTGCCTCATTTTGTATAAAAGGTAAAAATGAATATTTAAAGCAATTGCCAAAATTGCTTTAAAATCTCTTTTATTTCTATGAATATACCTTTGTGAGACTGGTTTCTTTACTGTGTGTTATTAAAACAAAACAGAAAGTGTTTAGAACTCATTATTTCCTTCAAGTAGCATTGTTGTTAATCCAACCTTGATTAGATAATTTAACAAGCAATATGCAAGCCCATTTATTCCACTAAAAACTTTAAATACTGATATATCAGTGTTTGTTCAAAGTGTATGAATTGGCATTTAATATGGGCAATTGCTATTTCTCTACATACTCTTTAGTTATCACTGTGGAATGACAAAAAGTTACAAGTATATTAGAAAGTCTCTATATCAATTGCCTGTGCACACTTTTAAATTTCTTTTAATAAATAACACACACAATTTTGCAATTTATTATAATTCTTCTGTCCCCTTTATGTTTTTTTCTGATTATATGTATTGAAATGTAATTTTACGTTTCTTGAATTTAATAATATGTTAAAATTCATTTTCTAATTGCTTATTTTTATTATATTTTATAAAAATATTGGTCCACAATAAATTGGGAAAGAAAAGCAAAAAAAAAAAAAAAAAAAACAACAAACACCAGAAAACAAAAAACTGATTCTTCACCATAGATAGTTTGAAAAGTACTGGGCTAGAACACTACCTATTAAATAGAAGTTGTTTGATAATTATTTGTTAATTTTATTTTATGTTCTCTCTGCTACATACTATGTCTGCATCTTTCTACAGCTGACTCTTTCTCATCCTTTGAGATTTCAGATCCATATCACATTCTACAGATTCTTTGCCCCTGCCTCAGTCACTCATTGGATGGCCTTCTTTTATAATTTTCATGGCACTGATTACTTTCTGAAATTATCTTGGTTATTTGCTTATTGCTTCTCTTCCTTTCCACTAGAATTCAAACTCGATGAGTGTAGAGACACTATATCTCTTGTTTGTGTCTGTATCTTCGAAGACTAGTGTATTAGTCCATTTTCATGCTGCTGATAAAGATATACCTGAGACTGGGCAATTTACAAAAGAAAGAGGTTTAATGGACTTACAGTTCCACGTGGCTGGGGAGGCCTCATAACATGGCAGAAGGTGAAAGGCACATCTCACGTGGCAGCAGACAAGAGAAGAGAGCTTGTTCAGGGAAACTCCTTCTCATAAAATCATCAGGTCTTGTGAGACTTATTCACTATCATGAGACCAGCATGGGAAAGACCTTGACCCCATGATTCAATTTCCTCTCACCAGCTCCCTCCCACAACATGTGGGAATTCAAGATGAGATTTGGGTTGGGGGACAGCAAACCATACCACCTAGTATTGTTCAGGAAGGATTCAAACATATAGAAGATACTCAATAAATATCTGGTTAATGTATTAATGGATGTGGGAAAGGGGAACCATTTTACTTGCAGTGGCAACTCTGAGCCACTTGAATTGGGAATTATGAGAAACTTGGTGAAGACAGCTTGTCAAAGATATGAATAGGCCTTTTGTTGCTATAAAAGCATTCACTTATGGAAGTGAAATATATTTGTCATTAGACAGATGAACTTCCCTTCCATTGCCTATGTAATCAGCCCCTCAAATGTCAGCTCTCCATCAATAAACTCACTGATCCATTTTTCTCTTGAGAAGTCCAATGCGTTATCATATATTTTTAGTGTCATCCTTTCTGGAAAAGGGATGTATTCATAAATACTCATTGTAGAACATGTTCTTTACTTGGGATCTATAGACGTCCTGAAATTGGGTATAAACTGTGAATATGTACATTTTAAAAGGAAACTGTGATAACTATCATCAGATTTTAAATAGATTAATAATTCCTAAAAGATTAATAATTTCTTTTACATAAACTCCAGAAAATGTAACTAAGAAAGTCTCAGAAATAATGCAGAGTTTCTGTATTTTGGCACCAGTTTTTAATAAATCTAAAGGTAAAGGTAGAAATCTATAAAATACTTATTTCTATATTTTTGGATATATCTAGAATTACATTCTCCATCATTGATGTGGTGAGGTTGATAAAACAAGGTAGGTGGCAGGCTTTCTGAAGATGAGACACATTCTGCAATTAATTATTTTTGCACAAAAATATAATTGATAGCACTGTGTAGATTTCAAATAAATCAAAAGACACCAACAAAAATCAAGTGGAATTACTGTCTTGATATGTGAAAATTTTTCTGTGTTAAGTATTACAATAACTCTAATCATAACTAATAACTAAAATCCATCACATATGATGGATCAAAGTCTACTTTGATAACAGGGTCAGCTTGAATTTTGTGTTTTTAAAAATAGGGCCCAGAAATACTAACCAGATTTATTACTGCATGCCCACTGTGTCATTTCTAATACAGGATGTATTAAATAGATTTAGATGTAGATTTCATCCTAATTTAGTCTGGAAACAGAGCCAAACTAAATTGTCAGTTTGATGTATTCAATCAATTCTAATTTATTTTAGATTATTGAAAATATCACACATGCCAAAGTCTGTTGTCTCATTTTAACCTTAGTGATGAAGAATAATGAAAGTGCTATGGTTGGGTGCAGTGGCTCACACCTCTAATCCCAGAGCTTTGGGAGGCTGAGGCAGGAGGATTGCCTGAGGCTAGGAGTTTGAAACTAGCTTGGGCAATGCAGTAAGACCTTCATCTCTTTAAAAAAAAAATTAGCCAGCTGTGGTGGTGCATGCCTGTAGTCTTAGCTACTTAGGAGGCTGAGAGGGGAGGATCACTTGAGACCAGAAGTTCAAGGCTGCAGAGAACTATGATGATGCTACTGACCTCCAGCATGTGCAACAGAGCAAGAATCTCTCTTAAAAAAATAAAAAATAAAAAAAGAGTGTTGGTTTTGGAAAATCTACTTTGAGTATATAATATTTATCTTGCACCTATATCGTGCCAAGTATTAACAGTCTGGCTGTCATTGCCTTCAACATTATAGTTGTTCTTCCATATTCTTGGAGGATTGGTTCTAGAGGCTCCCAAAGATATGATACCAAAATCTGAGAATGCTCAAGTCCCTGATATAAAATGGAGTAGTATTTGCATATAACCTATGCACATCCACCTTATACTTTAAGTAATCTCAGATTACTTATGATACCTAATACAATGCCTACACCTCACTTCATTCATGTGAATTCAATGTGGTACTCAGCCCACAGCAAATTCAAGTTTTGTTTTTTGCAACTTTCTGGAAATTGTTTTCCAAATATTTTTGATTTGCTGTCTGTTGAATCCACTAATGTAGAACTCATGGTTATGGAGGGCTGATTGTATATTGTTAGCTGGATGAATTTATAACATATACTTTTCTACTTCGGTATTTTAAAACAAACATAACAAACCTATATCTTCTATAATTTTGTTTTTTTTCAGAAAACACTTACCTAAGTTGTTGAGGCCACTATGAACATAAAGTTGATATTGTAAATTATATATGGTGAATATGAAGTACTTTAGAATTTTAAAACTTTGCTCTTTAAAATTTTTAGTGCTTCATGGAGAAGCCTGTTAGTATTCTAGGGTGAACCCATATTTCATGTTAAGATCAACATATGGAGAACTCATAGGAAAAGTTTAGTAATTTCTATATGGTTTTGACATATGACATATCTGAATTTTAAAAAGATAAACATGTAATTAGAACATTATTTTTCTTAGTCATGGCATCAGTGATTTTTATTCATTTTATTCAAGATATGTTTTTTAAAAAGGTTCATTTTCTTAAAAGATATAGGAAAAGTTTGAGCTTTCTTGAGGTTACTCTAATTTCTTCCATGTTTTCCTTAAAATAAAGCCATCAAGAAATATACTAGAAAAAGTCATTATATGCCTTGCTGGCACAAAAATGTCTTCGATTATATCAAGCACTTAGTATCTTACGAATTACAGTAGAGAGTAATAAATATCGAGAGGTGTTTCTGACCACTGATGCCCTATTTTTTTATGTTGGAGCTGAGCCTATATGTAAACTATCAGATGGTAGAGGTGGTTGCTGCTTTCTACTCAAGAAGAGTATCATCTATAGAATAGAGCATGACTCACAAATTGATAATGAGGTCTTCTCTTTTTCTGTGGGTTTCAAAGTTCCACAGTTAATTCTATTGCCACACTGTTACAGTTTGCCCTCTTTATAAGCTCTTTGAGGTCTGTATCCTTTCTTTTTAAATATAATTTTATTTTTTATTGCAGAAATGTTTTACAATGAACATTGCTCACTTTTGTTATCAGAAAAAAATTGCCGATTAAAGCTATTTATTTTAAAAACTTGCTCTTGTGTGGAGGATAACATAGTCAATGTTGAAGAATGAGGTGGGGTGATGGAGAGTGTTGGAGTCAGCCTCTTTAGATTTGTAACACAGCTCTGATCCAAACCAGCCAAGTTAGGTAAAAAATTATGTAGGCTTTTTGTGCCTCAGTTTTCTCAACTAAAACATGAAAATAACAATTTCTCCCTCAAGGGATTGTAATGATTAATTGAATGATTACATGATAAGCAATTAAGCCTGGCACATGGTATGTGCTTAGTAAATATAAGTTATCAGATGGAACATGTATTATGTACAATGTAACATAGGTTGTTTATATAGGATATTTTTTTCTAAGAAAATATTTGCTGGATTTTATTTCTGGCAGGTTAAATCAATTCTGATATTAAAAAGACCATAAGAAGCTGCCCTTTATCATATACATAATTTTCTACCTTGGTGTAGGAAGTGACCAAGGAGCCTGAATTAAGAATTCATCTTGATTTTGCAGACCCACTTCAGGGCAAGAACTTTTTGGAGACTCTTCCTTAAAATAGTTTGGTGCTACTTCTACTGCTGTAATGATTAACAGTTTGTGTCAATAAATTTCAACACACAGATTTACATTTTCTAATCATAAGTGTGTCCTTACTTGAATTGAGTTCATTGACTTTGGGGAGAGATCATTTCCTGTTACATTTTCATCTCAGCACTGGCAAGCAAATGATGATGCTCAAAGGCACTTGCAGGTGACAAAGGATATCTTGAAGCATTTTTTTTTTTTTTGAGAAAAACTGACCTCCTGAACTTTCCACGTTTTTATTACTAAGCATGCTCTGTAGAGTCGTTTCATCCACTGAGGACAATAAAAAGTGTTTATAAATGAGTTTCTGTTTATATGTACTCTTTGCTCTATTTTTAAAAAATGCTTAGTGAAGGATGTGCTAATCTTTCTGTGATAAATTTATCACAGGAGTATTTTTCATCTTTAAACTGTCAAAACTTGATTTACTATGAGGAGGTACTTTATGTATCCCGGGGATGTTTCCATAACTGTTTAGGTAACTGTAACAGCACCAGGCAGCAACTGAGGCTGGAGCTGGCTCATAGCAGATCTTGTTTATTGCCTAAACCTATCTACAGTTCCACATAAAGCAAATATTTATGGAACACTTACTATGTACCAGATACTGGCAACACAAAGATAAGTGAGACAGAATCTCTTCCCCTACCCCTCAAAAGTAATACTTTAGTGAGTAGATTGTCTTTAATAGAGAAGTTACATAACAGTGTAATAAAGGCTGTGATAGAAATACAAATAGATAGCTATTAAGTTCTCAATAGAGGGCACCCTACAGGTATAAGTTTGCCAAGGAAAAACGAGAATAAGGACCCTGGAAGTGGAAGGAACAGTATGCAGATAAATGCAGAGCCTTTTAAGGATATTGTTTGCTGAAATGTTTAAGGAGAGAGAGGCGTGGCAGGAAATGGAGCAGCGGTGGTTCTGTGGGCTCAATTATATGGATTTTTTGTCTGTAGTGCCATTGAAAGATGTCCAAATCAACCTGTGAGCAAGTGGAGAAACAAAAGCTTTTAACCAGAGGTGACATGATCAGATTTTATAAAGAAAACTTAGGTAAATTTCCAGAAGCAGGGGGTAATCAACAGCATCAAATCTCCCACTTCGATAATAATCTGAAGGTCTCATTAGCTCTAAAATTCTCTTCTGTGGCTTTAGAAAAATGTGAGAGCTGTAATCATTGTTGAAGAAACAAACTATCTCTCTTCCTGACCCTTTTAAAGATATGCGTTTTTAAAAGGCGAAAATATACCAACAAGAGCTGTTTGAAGTCCTATAGTTTACCTCCTATGTGTTTCATATGAGGAAACTGAACTGAGCCATATAATCGAAACAGGAGCCAGGACTGGAACCGGGTCTGCAGTACTTTCTACCAGCCTACTCTGGTAGTTTGTTGGTTTGTGAAAGCAGATGAAATTGAGAATGCTGCTTGGCTCACCTGTATTGTGTGTACAACAAAAAATTTCATTAGGACAAATGGATAGTTAAATGAATTCTGATATTCCTGGAGGGAAAGAATGGAATAAAGCTTCATTGGATTTGGACTTGATTTATTTTCTCTACACTATCTTCAGCATGAAAGTGATTTGTTTGACAATTAATTCACATTGTAATAGCCAACATTATACACAGACATAGCAGTTACAAAACAGTGTGTGTATATTAATATAACAGAATTACAACTAGTAGCCATCTTCTTCATTTTATATGAATACAAAAATCATTTTTTCATATATTTTCTTTACAAATTAAGCCTCTTGTAAAACACCCAACCCCAAGCTACCCCTTTTCAGAATCTTGCAATGCATTATGAATATTTTAGAAAGTTAGATAGAAAAAACAAGGTGGTAAAAATTTAATTTGTGCCAGCTAATAGATTTGGTTAATTGACAAGGTGTCTATTTTGAATATTAAGGGATTTTCTTTAGCACTTTCCCAGAAAATCTATTTTTGAAGTTATCTATTTTAACAATCTAATAAAGTTGGCCCTTTTTACACTACTTAATTTGAGCTTTATAGATTAGCTGCTAGAGAAAGAAGCTAGGGAATACATATTGTTTTAGCTAAGGAAATAGTCTCCAAAGAGAGGTCCTAGATTTTATCTTCTAACTCAAAGAAGGATATATTTCTAATATAAAATAGAATCTCCAACATAAAAATTTGCAAATAATATTGGAGATGATTAAATTTCGTTTGACTTTTTGTGGCAAACATATATCATGGGATCATTTTAAATATGGAAAACAATTCATTAAAATGAATCTGTTACTATAGGTATGCAACCTCTTAGGGCTTCTTTATGGAAGACAATGTGTACTATTGACAGTAAATTAAACTGGTATTAGCATGGGAACTCTGCTAACAGAGTTCATTGAGCCAATAAATATGGATCTGCACTTTGATAATCAGATCTGATATTCTTCAGTTTGGATTTAATGCCCCAACTCTTCACACATGTACAGGGAGTAGAGGTTTCAAAAGGCTATTAGATAATTTTGTTATTATAGATTATTAAAATGTATATTTTGAACCACTATATAATTACTCTGAAGGCCAGAATTATCTAGACTGGTATTTATTTTGTTACATCCCTAGTTTACCTTGTGATTCTACACAGTGTAAATCATGCTGAACTGAAGGCTACTATTCTCCAGATATATATTGTGTGATACAGGCAAACCTTGGGTTATATTGAAATCCATGTATTATTTAAGTAATAATCTCTTTTATTAACTTTCAAAATGAATTCACCTTATTAAGTAAAATGCATACTAATTTCTTCTTTAATTTATACAACAGATACGTTATTTGATAAGCTATGTGTGTTTGCCAGATATTTGCCACAATTCTAGATGGTGGAGTACAGCAATGAACAAAATAGTCACAAGTCTCTATCAAAAAGCAGCTTTTTGGGGAGGCTAAAGTGGGAGGATTGCTTGAGGTCACAAATTCAAGACCTGCCTGGGCAGCACAGTGAGACTCCATCTCTTCAAAGGGAAAACAAAAACAAAAACAAAAACGCTGGGCATGTTGGTGTGTGCCTGTAGTTCTCAGGAGGCTCAAGTGGTGGGAGAATCACTTGGCCCCAGACTTCAAGGTTGCAGTGAGCTATGACTGAGCCACTGCACTCCAGCCTGGATGACAAAGTGAGACCTTGTCTATTAAAAAAAAAGTAAAGAAAAATTTAAAATAGAAGGAACTTTTGTTTTAGTGGAGGAAGACAGATGTGAACAAATGAGTATATAATATATTAGGTAGTAAAAACTGCTGTGAAAAAAATAAAGCAGGTTAAAGGGAGAAGGAGGACAGAGGGGTGTTGTGTGTGCTATTTTTTTATGGGTGATCAGGGAAGATTTCTGATAAAAAGACCATATAAGCTATAAGCAGAGACCTGAGGGAAATGAGGCAGACCTAAGCAGAAATCTCAGGATAGTGGTTATCCAGCAAAGAGGGCAAAGGCCTGAGCATGTGGTATTATTTCCATTTCTACAGAAGAGATTGAGGAAGAAGAAAGAATAGGTAACCATGGCAGCCACAGAACTGGTGGCAGGTGGTGCTGGGATTTGAACCTTGGTTTGCACAGAGATGTAGGAAGTATAAAGATTTAGCTATATCTGGGGAAAGAGCATTCTAGACAAAGACAAAGCTCTTCAGAGAACAAGCCCTTGGTGTGTCAGAGGAAAAGCAAAGAAGTCAATAAGGCTGAAACCCAGGGATCTAGGGAGAGAGTGTTAGGGGAATGGAGCCCAGGAGGTGGTATGGGTGGGGTGAGGAGGGGCACAGATCATGTAGGCTCTTGTAAGGACTTTGAATTTATTCTAAGTGAGGGTTTTGAGCAGAAGAGAGACATAATTTACATTTTCCAAAGATACTTGTACTGCTGTGTGGAGAATATACTGTAGAGGTGGCAAGGGTGCAAACAGGGAAATCATTTAATATGCTATCACAATAGCCTAGGTCAGAGAGAGATTTCTGTGGCTTCTTCTAAGGTGGCAGTGGAGGAAGGGGTGAGCAATAGTTAAATTCTGTATATATTTTGAATGAAGAGCCACTAAGATTTGCTGACATGTGACAGCAGATAATATTATAGTGAGGTTCTAGTAGAAAAATCATAATAATTATATAGTCAAAGCAAGCACATTTGAATTAATTCACTGAGAATAATGCCCCATTCAAAACTGCATTTTAAAAAAACTTGAATGCTTTTTAACTTGAATGCTTCTAGCATCTTCCTGCTAGTACCATTTTCAGTTTGACCTGAAAAATGCTGCCTAGAAATTACTCACTCGGACTTCATTTATACTAAGAAGACGTCAACATTCTAGACCCCTGCATGATATATTTGTGGAACATTGTATATAAATGTTTGTTGCAACAAATACTGTTGTGTGTGGTTATTTTTAGAGAATGAAGTCATCTGAAGCCATGTTATTCTTAAGACAGATTCTGGTCTTTTGGTGACGTTTTTACTAGTTCAAATACTTACATTAATATACATTAAAGACATAGTGTATTATCAGGGATAGTGTAGGTGACCCTATCAATTTAAGAAAGATGAAAATAGCAATTGGAAAAATATGCAAATGCAAGTTCCTATCTAATGTATCTGGATGAAAAATTATCTTGAATTATTAAATTTTAGGTATTATCTCACTTCACCATTTGTTTCTTATGTTTCATTTATCTTAATCAGAGTAACTCAATGATGTTAGCTGGAGTTAAAAAAAGTCTCTTTTTCAGAGTGGGTGAAGCATTTTTTCCAGTTATAGAAATACACATATTAGCATTTGATATAGTCTGGCTCTGTGTCCCCACCCAAATCTCATCTTGAATTGTCATCTGAATTGTAATCCCCACGTGTTAGGGGAGGGACCTGGTGGGAGGTGATTAGATCATGGGGGCGCTTCCCCCATGCTATGATAGTGAGTTCTCATGAGATCTGATGGTTTTATAAAGGGCTTTTTTCCCCCTTTGCTTTGCACTTTTCTCTTCTGCTGCCATATGAAGAAGGACATGTTTGCTTCCCCTTCCACCATGATTGTAAGTGTCCTGAGGCCTCCCCAACTCTGTAGAACTGTGAATCAATTAAACCTCTTTCCTTTATAAGTTACCCAGTCTTAGGTATTTCTTCATAGCAGTGTGAGAATGGCCTAATACAGCATTATATATTGAATGACATGAATTATTTGCATTTATTTTGAATCCTGTATATTATGGAGTTAAAACTGCAAAGATTTTAAAAAATAGTTACCATATTACAAAATTAGGTATGATTTTGTATGTAAACAGCTACTTATTTGGTATAACATGCAGATATAAATAGAATCTCAACACAGTAAACCATGTTGCAGAAGGTGGAGCACTGGTCTGAATACATCTTGAAATCATTACTGTTATGACCTCATGTGTGTTCCATGGTGCACCAATGCCTTTGGTTGTTTCTGGTGTTTGTCAGTTATGACTGCTATAACAAAGTACTATAAACTGGGTGGCTTAAACAATAGACACTTATTTTTCCTGATTCTGGGGGCTGGGAAGTCCTAGATCAAGGAGCCAGCATGGTCAAGTTCTGTAAAGGGCCTCCTTCTTGGTCTGAAAATGGCTGTCTTCTCACTATTTCTTCATATGACAGAGAGCAGAGAAGCAAGCTCTCCTGTGTCTTCTTATAAGGGCACGAATTCCATTCAAGAGGGCTTCACACTCTTAACCTAATTACCTCCTAAAGGCCCCATCTCCAAATACCTTCACATTGGCAGTTAGGCTTTCAACATCCAAATTTCGGGAGTAACACAAACGTTCAGTCTATAGCAGAGTTATTTGAAGCAAGGGTTTTTATTAAAAATAATTTGGAAAACACTAAGTTAGTAGAGTTAAACAAATTGCAGTAAGACTTTTCAAGTTTTTGATACAAATGTGCCCCACTATTCTTCCATGTGGGAGGGGGATATAGTAGGGTACCCCAAACTTATTCAAATAATACCTTTATTTCAGGAATTGGCTCAGAAGATTGATGTTCTGAGGCATACCAATTAGGAAAATGTTGCTCTAGAGTATGCAATCTCAATGCTATTTCTTTCACTACCCTTAGTTGGTTACCAAGCACTGTGATTTTATTATATTGCATACCTGCATACTTTTTGTTATTCTTTAATAATATTTCTCTGGTTATCTAATATATGGTTTGAGACAATTGGGAAAACAGTGAATTGTTATCCTTCATAGCACAAACAAAATAAAATTTAGGAGGATTCAATCAGTTAAACGTAGGAAAAAAGTTAAACCAAAAATTACTACCACCACCACCACCACCAAAAGCATAGATTTCTATAAGATTTCCTGATTGGGCTAAGTGAACTTTCTAAGCTTAAAGGCAATTGATCAAGAAGAAATTAGTTAATACAAGTTGGATAGATGATAGTTCATTAATAACTGAAACATTACAAATGATAAAAAGGATATAACTAAAACCACAAGGCAAACAGTAACATAAGAAAATAATTACAACAAATAGAACAAAAGATTAATATTTTTAACAAAAGGCATTTGTAGGACTTCATATAAATCTATAAGACATACACAAAGAACCTAATACATAAGGGACAAAAAATAAGAAATGATCATTTTCCCACAAAGAAAATAATCCGTGCATAAATTTTTTACAATATTACAAGTGTCATTAAGATTATAATGCAATACTATTTTTTGTTTGCTTATCTAATTAGCAAAGATTTTCTAAAAACCCATGAGAATATTCAGTGTTTGTTTAAGCACGGGGAGAAACGAGTCCCTTCTAATGAGGATTTGCAAATTGTTATACTCACTTTAAAAAAGACATAAGAAAGTTATTTTTATCTTCTGACCCCATAACATCCCCCCTAGGAATTTATCCTAAGGAAATACTCTATTCCTTCAACAAGCCCTGTTGGCTTTACTGGAAAAACTCCAGCTTCCAACCACTTCTCACTATCTTCACTCCTCTCACTTTAGTAGTGTAAGCTGCCAACCTCTCTCACCAGCACCACTGTAAGCATTTCCTAAGGAGTCTCAAGTGTTTCATACTTCCCCCACTTTCTCAGTCATCTATAATCTGTTTTGCACACAGCAATAACATTCATCTTTTACAGTGCAAATTATATTATAGCATCTCTGGTCAAATCCTACAAATTTGCTTCCCATTGCTAATTTCAAATTCCTTGTCATGACCTACAGGGTTCTCTATAATGCTGTCCCATCTCCTATAAACTTAGTGTTCTCTAATTCCCCCCTGTGCTCTTTGTTTAGGACCAATGGAAGGGATAATTTCATTGGTCAGAAATTTTTTTATTTCAGGTAATAAAATCATCACTATTGTAGCTTAAGCACAAATGGGGAATTTATTATTTATGAAAGCCAAGTATGAAAGTCTTTGTGGATGAATGGAACCAGAGGCTCAAAGGCAGGTGTTGATTATATTGTTTATCTGTCTTTCCATTTTAGCTTCTCCTGTTGCAATTTGACATATCCCAGAAGGCAGGATCCTATGGCTTCTTATGCCTCTTGGCTTCCTATCTTACATGTTTTGTCCCAGAAAAGAAGTTATCTCCTTAGTTTAATTAGAAAAAAAATCCAGAAGAGAAATCCTGAATGGCTCATCTTAGGAAGAGTACCCACTTGTGGTAGGGTACCCACCTGTGATAGGCTGCACAAGAGGATTATGTAAAAACAGGGCAGCTTCTTTTTGGAGTATATCTTAGAGTCAGAACTGGAGGAAAAGGGAAAGCTCCCTAAGGGAGGCAAGTGCCACTGTTTCCAAAAGAAGGTAAGAGAAATGTTGCGTGGTCAAAGGTATTAATGACAACTACACTCATTTATCTATATGTGTAGAAAATATACTTGAAACTTTTGATTGGAATCCAACATGTCTGTGGAACAAATGAGATTTAGGAGGAAGAGGTGGGCATCACAAAACTTCTTGCCTGTGTTTCATCCCACTTGCTTCAAAATTGTGTTCTTTCAATCATTCTCTCTTCTCTCTAGCATTTTCAAGTTATGCTGCCTCTGTGGCATGGCCCTCTCTCTTTGCCCCATTCTTTCTACTTAATATCTTATTGCCTCCACAAAGCTTCATTGTAATTATTTGCATTATTTTTGTTAGACACTTTGAGTGAAAAGAAGCAATGTCTTGGGGTTTTCATTCCCCCGCGTCCACATCATTTTCCAAACCCTGCAATCTGCTACAGTTTTTGCAAAAAGTTACTCTTTTGAAGGTTTTACTGATCTCTTTCTCTGCCCTACCATTAAAAAAAAAGTATCTACCAGGAACTCTCAACAAAGGGATAGTCAAGAATCAGAGAAATAAATTCCTTGTCACATCAAACTAGTAGGACTGCAGAAGGTGAAAATCTGAAGAATCAAAGTGGGGACCATGGACCACTTGCGGTATCATCACCTGGGGTACTTGTTAAAGAGCAAATTTCTGGGCTTCACTCACACCTCCTGAGTCAGAATATCTGAGAATGAGTCTTGGAATCCACATTTGTGCAAGCTTTCCAGGTGATTCTTTTGTGCACATTGATGTGAACACAAAGAAACAACCCCTTAAACTAGGAGCTGAATAAGGATCAAGAAAAACAGAATGGAGTTATGAGTAGGTCGAGAGCTAATTAGGAATTTTCATCAGGGATCCTCCCCGATAACACCTCTGTCCCACCAATGCCATTCCTGTTGGGTATTATCTGAGATGTCTCGCTACACTAAAGACGGCTCTTGAAGGGATAGAATTAATTGAAAGAAAATTTGGAAGTTGTCATGAAGGTTGGTAAAAATAGGTGCTAATGAGAAGAGAAAGTTTTTATGTCTTTTCTTAGCCTCAGATGAGCAGGTAATCAATTCTCTTGCAGATATATTTGTAAATAGTGAGACATCTGGGTAAAACTATTTGGTAGTTTAAGACTTAGGAGACAGATTTGGATTGAACATTGAGAGCTGAGATTCATAAATGTATAGCTGCTTGAGGCCATGGCATAGGTGAGAACTCCCAGGAAAGTGTGTGGGAATAAACAGTGCCTGGTAGAGAGTCCCAGTGACACTGCTGTATGAATGGCAGGTGGGAGAAGAAGAGTCAACTGGATGGCGAGTGAAGCCAAACAATCAGGGATGAGAGCCACTGCAGAAGGGTTGGAGGAAATGCCAGGAAGTGTGGAGTGGACAGTGTGAAATGTTACAGAGAGATCGGATACTAAAAGAGTTGAAAATAATTTATTGGGCTTGGTATTCGATCTTTAACAAGGGTAGTTTCAGTGGTCTGCCAGAGCAAGACACAGATTTTAGTAAATTGAAGGAAAAGTAGGTGAGAAAATGAAGTCAGAATACAGACAACTCTTTCAGAAGTTTGAGGGAGAGAAATAAGGTGTGACAAACAGGAAGAAGGGAGGTGGATTTTAAGATGTGGCATGAGTATTACAGGCCATAAACAGGGAGCCCAAGGGGAGGGAGGTGGCAGGAAAGAGGGGCTAATTGTTGGAGCAAGGTCCCAACAAGGAGAGCACAAGGGGGAAGGGAGAGCCTTTTGTAGGAACTGGCTTTTTCATTTTGATGTAGAACAAAGAAAACAAGAATGTGTGTGGCGGAAGTACATTTTCAGGGAGTCTGAAGGGTGGGGAATGGAAACAGAAGATACCTGAATTCAGAGCTCATAATCTCACCTTGTGTCTTTACTAGGTGTCACTATACTTCTATGATGTGAACAAAGACATTTCAATTTACTGGAAAGTACTTGATTGAGTTCTTTTCTTCCTCATCCTCACCACTGGAATGATATAAAGAACCTTTTGTGGAGATTCTGCCATGATTTTAGTCACATAGCCTTAGCATGTGATAATGTAATCAGGAAGCTGGTATAATACGCAGCAAAATATGGACATAATTATTCTGCATATTTTCTTGGGAGGAAAAGTATTAAGCAGGCATACCTGAAGCATCCTTTAAATTTTATTTTGAAGAATTTATTGCATTGGGAATTAAGTTTTATGTGGGGGAAAGAGCATTAATATTGAACCAACTAAAGAGTTAATATTTTAGTAGAGTGGGTCGGAGTAATTTCTTTTTTCACTGAGTAACCATCAGACATTTGAGAGACTGACGACACGTCTCAGACTCCTCCAGGTGACCCAGAGCTTGAAGTTGAACCAGACTAATTTCTCCCTGCAACGGAAAGGATGACTGACCATCTTTATTTAGGTAAAAGGCAGAGTGTGGTGCCCTTCATGGGGCAGAATTTCAGCAACTAAATTTTTTATTAAATGTGTGTAACTGCTATTTTATTATCAATTTATTGTATAGAGATTGACTGCTTGATGTAAAGGCAGAAGAAGCTGTAGAGATAGCATTGTCCATATTGGCCCCTCTATCTTTCTGTTTCTTTCTCTTGTAGGCAAAAGAAACACACAACTAAGTTGTATTGTTCAGAGAAAAAAAAAAGAAAAGAGAAAGAAAGAGAAAAAGGAAGGAAGAAAGGAACTGCATTTAGGCCAGATAGGATTATCTTCTTAATCATGCTAATGTGAATTACTTTTAATAGGATTAAGTCTCTTGGGTCTAGAGTAATAGAAAGAATCATCTTGGCTATTTAAACAGAAGGTACCTAAGTGGTGTATAATGATTCTAAGTAATATTAGCATTCTATAGGTAAAGCAGTTGCTGGACATAATTAAAAGTCTCCATTCAGAATTGAAAATTATGTTCATATTTAATATTTAATTAAATTTTTTTTAATGTCAAATTAGTCTTTTTGAGACATACTAGGAATCTTTGGGTAAAATGTGTACACAAGGCATCCCGTGCAGTGTGACACATTGAAGCACACTGTTCATGAATCATTTTTCAATAGGGACTTGAAAATAGATTAGAAATTCATTGGATGTTAGTATAATAAGAATTTAGAACCTGATTAAATTGATATTTCAAAATATCAGAGAAAATACAAATAATAAATGGTGTTGAGATAATTGACTATTTGGGGAAATATTATTTCTTTACCTTATTTAAGACAAGAGTTTCCTGATAAAATAAACATTATACATAAATAAAAATACAGGTCACTATTAATACAATCTTGGGGTGACAAAGACCTTTCTAAGCACAATTACCATGATTCCCAAGTCAGAAATCATAAAGAAGATAAAAAGATTTAACCATATAAACTGAAAGTTTCTGCCATCAAATACTGTAAAAACTTTGGATATACATCTAGGCTGAGAAAGAATATTTGCATTGTTTACAAGAGGGTTAATATTGTTAGTATGTAAAGAGCTTTTTAAAAAAGAACAAATCAACACCCGCCCCCGAACCAAGCAAATCATTCTAACAGGAAAATGGGCAAACATCAAAAATAAGCAAATTATTTACAAAAAAACCCAAATTGCCAAAAACAAGACGCCATTATTCACCTTTCAAATGACAGGAGTGAAATAGTTAATGATACCAAAAGGTGTCATATTAGTGTGGTGTCAAAGTGAGGGGAACCAGACCTGCTCATACAGTGCTAGGGATATTAGTGTGTGGCCACATTGTGATATGTGGCCCAGGTCCTCGTTCAACGGAGCACTTGTTGAGCTAGCTGCTGGAACTGTCTTATCTGCAGGGATTCAGAGATGGCCTCAGTGGAAGAAATGGGGATGTATAAATCCCTAGTCGTTTCAGCCCAATTCAGGACAATTCTGAAGAACCAGTCTAGTTTCAGAGCTCCCCATGGAGTCAGCTGAGAGTTATTGTTGAGCTTTCATTGTGGCTGCACTGCTGCCTCTGCTCAATCCTTCCTTCCACAGAAATTGATTCTAAGAGCTCTCTTTAATAAACATCTACTACACTAACTTCCATTTCAGAATTTGCTGCCTAAGGAAGCAAATCTGCTACAATTGTAAATTTCTACAACTTTCTTGTTTTGTTTTGAGGGCAAACTAGTTATGGGCATCAAAATACTTAGACATAGCTTGCCGTTTGATTCAGCAATGGGGTTCTAAATATTCGTTATGAAAAAAAGCAAAGATGTATCTCCTAGAAAATTCATTGCAGCACAGTTGATTATACATTATATATCCTAGAATGTTCATTGTAGCACAGTTGATTAACTGTACAGATAACTTAGGTGGCCAGATGTTGGATATTGGCAAGATTGTTTCAACCATACAATCACCATGAGGACATGAAAAATGATACTTTGGAAGAATACTTAATAAAGTAGAAAAACACTTATAATATGTAGAAATAACAGGTTTCCAAGAAGTGTATTCATCCTAATCTATTTTTTCAAAGTATGTATGAGTGCATACAAAAAAGAAAATATAATAAAATGTTATTGGTTTTCTCTGAGAAGTAGGGTTATATATCATTTTAATTTTTGTGGTCTCTGAATCTTCTACGTTTTCAGCAATAATTAGCAATGTCTTATAAATTTAGAGGAAAAGCCTGTATATTTTATTTTTTAAAAACTCTGTCTTAAACTCATGAGAACTCATATGGAAATTGCTTTGATACTGATTTATTTTGTTTTATGCAGGGCACTCTTCAGAAACACACTTTTCTTTGGCAGCCTGTTAGTAATAACTTTCAAGGGAACGCCCTGCTCCCTTATTATATGTACCATGCATGTGAGTTTCTCTTTTGTAATACACAGTGCATCTATACTCCAGTCTGAGGTCTACTAGATCCTTGGAGCTGACCAGAGGCAGGGGTGGAGGAGTAAAGTAAAGAGGGGAACTGAAAAGTAGGGTCTCAGACTTCCCCCGTCCCATCTTTAGTCAGAGCAGCTGTACTTTTATGTTTTACATGTCTAGTTTCTCAGTAAGCTGAGATAGTTTTCCCTGGCTTAAAGCTGTTTGAATGACAGTTTTCTATGGTCTATCAGTTCTGTCCCTTGCAGTTACTTGGATCACTCTGGAGTAAATATTTGGACTGTATTAATTTAGCTACCCTGAGAAATATCTTCAATGAATTACGCTTTAATATGCAATTTATAAGAGGGATGAAATGAAAAATAGTTAATGAAAAACATTTTTATATTTTTTCAGAATCACTTTGAACGGGTCCATTATGTTATTATCTAATCTCCCATTTGTATAAGAAGGCATGTAGAAAATTTCTCATGGAACTTAGGATGAGAAAAAGATTTTTCCCCCTAGTGCAATTGACATGAGATTTTTTAATTTCCCCCTAGTGCAATTGACATGAGATTTTTTAACCAAGAAGAGCTAAACATCCATTAAGTTTCCATTTTTGCATTGCCTATGAGGACACTCAGGGTCAAATTCAGTGCTCAATTTTTAGTAATTATCTTATTTTTCAACTACTATCCTACAAATATCTTTCTATTTCATGGTTGTGATGTCTATTTTCATGTTTAATCACCTGTTTACTTATGATCTACTTTTATTGTAAGCTGTCCTAAATCTTTTGACAATTAAATGGAGTATGTATTACAAATGATAATTTAAGCTGTCATAGAGAATCTTACAAATGCCTTGTCAAATATGACCCATCTATAATTTCAACTAACTTGTTCATTGTTTGAATGCAAATATTGCTATAGATCTTTGGTTAATACTGTTTCATTTTACATATTAGATCATTCTGTCTCCCCACTCCTCACTCCCCACCATCATCACCATAGATAGGTGTGCTTGAATTACAAAGGTTCTGTATGCCTCCTTTGCACATAGACTGCTTACTCTAGAGCAGATATGTCCCTTAAACATTTGCTTTTCTCCTCAGGGATAAACCAGGGGAAAGTGGTTTTCATCATGCACAGGGAAAGTTTATAACAGAAATGTGATGCAGAAAAATGTTTTCCTAAGTTTCCAAATTTCACTGGACAGAAAACAAGGGTGTGTGTGTGTGTGTGTGTGTGTGTGTGTGCACATGTATATAAATATTAAATTTCCCTCTTCAGGGGAAATTAATTTTTGCAATTCACTGTTGTATGCAATCTCAAGTGTAGAACATTTCCATAGGAAATGAATGATTCATTTCAATTACAGTGAAAGGCATTTTACAAGTCAAAAACCTATCCAGACAGGAACCTGTTAAGAGAGTATTTTCTAATTGATATTCCAAAATAGTGGAGTAAAAGCGTGTTTTTCATTACTCTGTTGGTGAATACCATCTCTGTGTTTTTTCTGGAATTAGTGGGCAGCTTCTTTTGATATAATTAGGTGCTAAAATCTGGGAAAAGAGATTTTTTCTCCCACTTTGGTCCTCTAATGGGGGATTGCAACATTCTGCGGTTGTGTGAAAAGCATGCAGTTGGCTGCTTGAGCGGGATCCTTGGATCCTACTGATGGAGTGATTATGGTGCCAAAGTGTTCTTTTTGAAGTCCTGGTATTGACTCCAACATTTCCTGTGGAAACTGAAGGCCGGGAAATGGTGGGAGATTTAAGAAAAAGTAGATCTACACAGAATATTATAAAATAGATATACATTATTTTCCCTTTTCTTATTGGAACTAGTCAAGCAGCTTAGAGTAAATACGGTTTGCTATTTAGTCCTTCTGCCTTAAAGTCTTTGTTTATTCTCGTTTTTCCATAAATATTTGTGGAATACCTATTTGCACTGGGGATGCAATGGTGAACAAAAAAGACATTTTCCCCTTCACTTGCCATGGTGAACATTAGAGTCTAATGCAGAGAAGCAGGAATTAAACAGTTTTTACAAATGCATATGTGGGTCAGAAGTGTGATATTTTGAAAGTTCCAGGAATCCTACATAAATTGGGCGCAAAGGTGGTAGTGGGAAGTTAGCTCAAACATGAAGGTGAGTAGGTGAGAAGTGAGACGGAGAGCATTTTAGGCTCATTGTGCTTGGACTTAATAATCTCTTTTACTGAATGCCATGTAAGGGGCACCTTTCAAATTACCACGAAGATGACAAAATGAAAAATTATTTAATAAAATGAAAATAAAAATAAAATTTTTCATATCACCCTCTATTATACTTGTAGCAATAGTTTCAAAGGTGATGATATTTTATGTCTAATATTTACTTTAATCTTTTTGGTTTTTTTTATTATACTTTAAGTTCTGGGATACATGTGCAGAACATGCAGGTTTGTTACATAGGTATACATGTGCCATGGTGGTCTGCTGCACCCATCAGCCCATCATCTACATTAGGTATTTCTCCTAATACTATCCCTTCCCTATCACCCCAGCTACCAGCAGGTCCCAGTGTGTGATTTTCCCTTCCATGTGTCCATGTGTTCTCATTGTTCAACTCCCACTTATAAATGAGAACATGCAGTGTTTGGTTTTCTGTTCCTGTGTTAGTTTGCTGAGAATGATGGTTTCCAGCTTCATCCATGTCCCTGCAAAGGACATGAACTCATCCTTTTTTATGGCTGTGTAGTATTCCATGGCGAATATGTGCCACATTTTCTTTATCCAGTCTATCACTGATGGGAATTTGGGTTGGTTCCCAGTCTTTGCTATTGTGAATGGTGCTGTAATAAACATATGTGTGCATGTGTCTTTATAGCAGCATGCTTTATAATTCTTTGGGTATACCCAGTAATGGGATTGCTGGGTCAAATGGTATTTCTGGTTCTAGATCCTTGAGGAGTCACCACACTGTCTTCCACAATAGCTGAACCAATTTACACTCCCACCAACAGTGTAAAAGCGTTCCTATTTCTCCACATCCTCTCCAGCACCTGTTGTTTCCTGACATTTTGATGATCACCATTCTAACTGGGGTGAGATGGTATCTTATTGTGGTTTTGATTTGCGTTTCTCTAATGACCAGTGATGATGAGCTTTTTTCCATGTTTGTTGGCTGCATAAATGCCTTCTTTTGAGAAGTGTCTGTTCATATCCTTTGCCCACTTTTTGATGGGGTTGTTTTTTTCTTGTAAATTTGTTTAAGTTCCTTGTAAATCCTAGATATTAGCCCTTTGTCAGATGGATAGATTGCAAAAATTTTCTCCCATTCTGTAGGTTGCCTGTTCACTATGATGATAGTTTCTTTTGCTGTGCAGAAGCTCTTTAGTATAATTAGATCCCATTTGTCAATTTTGGCTTTTGTTGCCGTTGCTTTTGGTGTTTTTTTTTTCTTAGTCATGAAGTCTTTGCCTATGCCTATGTCCTGAATGGTATTGCCTAGGTTTTCTTCTAGAGTTTTTATGGTTTTAGGTCTTATGTTTAAGTCTTTAATCCATCTTGAGCTAATTTTTGTATAAGATGCAAGGAAGGGGTCCAGTTTCAGTTTTCTGCCTATGGCTAGACAGTTTCCCCAACACCATTTATTAAATAGGGAATCCTTTCCCCATTTCTTGTTTTTGTCAGCTGTGTCAAAGATCAGATGGTTGTAGATGTGTGGCATTATTTCTGAGGGCTCTGTTCTGTTCCATTGGTCTATATATCTGTTTTGGTATCAGTACCATGCTGTTTTTGTTACTGTAGCCTTGTAGTATAGTTTGAAATCAGGTAGCATGATGCCTCCAGCTTTGTTCTTTTTCCTTAGGATTATCTTGGCTATACAGGCTCTTTTTTGGTTCCATATGAAATTTAAAGTAGTATTTTCTAATTCTGTGAAGAAAGTCAATGGTAGCTTGATAGTAATTTGAATCTACAAATTACTTTGGGCATTATGGCCATTTTCACAATATTGATTCTTCCTATCCATGAGCATGGAATGTTTTCCCATTTATTTGTGTCCTCTCTTATTTCCTTGAGCAGTGGTTTGTAGTTCTCCTTGAAGAGGTTCTTCACATCCCTTGTAAGTTGTATTCCTAGGTATTTTATTCTCTTTGTAGCAATTGTGAATAGGCTTTCACTCATGATTTGGCTCTCTATTTGTCTATTATTGGTGTATAGGAATGCTTGTGATTTTTGTACATTGATTTTGTATCCTGAGACTTTGCTGAAGTTGCTTATCAGCTTAAGAAGCTTTTCCTGGGCTAAGATGATGGGGTTTTCTAGATATAGGATCATGTCATCTGCAAACAGAGACAGTTTGACTTCCTCTCTTCCTACTTGAATACTCTTTATTTCTTTCTCTTGCCCAGTTGCCCTGGCCAGAACTTCCAATACTATGTTGAATAGGAGTGGTGAGAGAGGGCATCCTTTTCTTGTGCTGGTTTTCAAAGGGAATGTTTCCAGCTTTTGCCCATTCAGTATGATATTGGCTGTGGGTTTGTCATAAATAGCTCTTATTATTTTGAGATATGTTCCATTAATGCCTAATTTATTGGGAGTTTTTAGCATGAAGGGGTGTTGAATTTTATTGAAGGCCTTTTCTGCATCTATGGAGATAAACATGTGGTTTTTGTCATTGGTTCTGTTAATTTGATGGATTACATTTCTTGGTTTGCATATTTTGAACCAGCCTTGCATCCCAGGGATGAAGCCAACTTGATTGTGGTGGATAAGCTTTTTGACGTGCTGCTGGATTCGGTTTGCTAGTATTTTATTGAGGATTTTCACACCAATGTTCATCAGGGATATTGGCCTGAAATTTTCCTTGGTCGTTGTGTCTCTGCCAGGTTTTGGTATCAGGATGATGCTGGCCTCATAAAATGAGTTAGGGAGGAGTTCCTCTTTTTCTATTGTTTGGAATAGTTTCAGAAGGAATGGTAGCAGCTCCTCTTTGTACCTCTGGTAGAATTCGGCTGTGAATTCGTCTGGTCTTGGGCTTTTTTTTGGGTGGTAGGCTATTAATTACTGCCTCAATTTCAGAACTTGTTATTGGTCTACTCAGTGATTCAGCTTCTTCCTGGTTTAGTCTTGGGATGGTGTAGGTGTCCAGGAATTATCCATTTCTTCTAGATTTTCTAGTTTGTTTGCATAGAGGTGATTATAATATTCTGTGATGGTAGTTTGTATTTATGTGGGATCAGTGGTGACATCTCCTTTATTATTTTTTATTGTGACTATTTGATTCTTCTCTCTTTCCTTCTTTATTAGTCTGGCTAGTGGTCTATCTATTTTGTTAATCTTTTCAAAAAACCACCTCCTGGATTCATTGATTTTTTGAAGGTTTTTTGTGTCTCTATTTCTTTCAGTGCTGCTCTGATCTTAGTGATTTCTTGTCTTCTGCTAACTTTTGAATTTGTTTGCTCTTGCTTCTCTAGTTCTTTTAATTGCAATGTTAGGGTATCAATTTTAGATCCTTCCTACTTTCTCCAGTGGGCGTTTAGTGCTATAAATTTCCCTCTAAACACTGCGTTACCTGTGTCCCAGAGATTCTAGTACGTTGTGTCTTTGTTCTCATTGGTTTCAAAGAACTTATTTATTTCTGCCTTCATTTTGTTATGTACCCAGTAGTCATCCAGGAGCAGGTCATTCAGTTTCCATCTAGTTGTGCAGTTTTGAGTGAGTTTCTTAATCCTGAGTTCTAATTTGATTATACTGTGGTCTGAGAGACTGTTTGTTATGATTTCCATTCTTTTGCATTTGCTGAGGAGTGTTTTACTTTCAATTATGTGTTCAATTTTAGAAAAAATGTGATGTGGTGCTGAGAAGAATGTATATTCTGTTGATTTGAGGTGGAAAGTTCTGTAGATGTCTATTAGGTCCTCTTAGTCCCAAGCTGAGTTCAAGTCCTGAATATCCTTGTTAATTTTCTGTCTTGCTGATCTGTCTAATATTGACAGTGGGGTGTTAAAGTTTCCCACTGTTATTGTGTGGGAGTCTAAATCTCTTTGTCTAAGAACTTGCTTTATGAATCTAGGTGCTCCTGTACTGGGTGCATATATATTTAGGATAGTTAGCTCTTCCTGTTGCATTGGTCACTTTACCATTATGTAATGCCCTTCTTTGTCTTTTTCGATCTTTGTTAGTTTAAAATCTGTTTTATCAGAGACTAGGATTGCAAACCCAGCTTTTTTTTTTTTGCTTTCCATTTGCTTGGTAAATATTCCTCCATTGTCTTTGCATGTGAGATGGGTCTCCTGAATACAGCACAACGATGGGTCTTGACTCTTTATCCAATTTGCCAGTGTGTATTTTCTAATTGGGTCATTTAGCCTGTTTACATTTAAGGTTAGTATTGTTATGTGTGAATTTGATCCCGTCAATTTGATGCTAGCTGGTTATTTTGCCAGTTAGTTGATGCAGTTTCTTTATAGTGTTGATGGTCTTTACAATTTGGTATGTTTTTGCAGTGGCTGGTACTGGTTTTTCCTTTCCATATTTAGTGCGTCCTTCAAGAGCTCTTGTAAAGCAGGCCTGGTGGTGACAAAATGTCTCAGCATTTGCTTGTCTGTAAAGGATTTTATTTCTCTTTTGCTTATGAAGCTTAGTTTGGCTGGATATGAAATTCTGGGTTAAATCTTTTCCTTAAGAATGTTGAATATTGTCCCTCACTCTCTTCTGGCTTGTAGGGTTTCTGCAGAGAGACTCACTGTTAGTCTGATGGGCTTCCCTTTGTGGGTAACTCGACCTTTCTCTATGGCTGCCCTTAACATTTTTTCCTTCATTTCAACGTTGGTGAATCTGACAATTATGTGTCTTGGTGTTACTCTTCTTGAAGAGTATCTTTGTGGTGTTCTCTGTATTTCCTGAATTTGGATGTTGGCCTGTCTTGCTAGGTTGGGGAAGTTCTCCTGGATAATATCCCAAAGAGTGTTTTCCAACTTGGTTCCATTCTCCCCATCACTTTCAGGTACAGCAATCAAACGTAGGTTTGGTCTTTTCACATAGTCCCATATTTCTTGGAGGCTTTGTTTGTTCCTTTTCATTCTTTTTTCTCTAATCTTGTTTTCATGCTTTATATCATTAAGTTGATCTTCAATCTCTGGTATCCTTTCTTCCGCTTGATCAATTCGGCTATTGATACTAGTGTGTGCTTCACAAATTTCTCGTGCTGTGTTTTTCGGCTTCATCAGGTCATTTATGTTCTTCTTTAAACTGGTTATTCTAGTTAGCAATTCCTCTAACCTTTTTTCAAGGTTCTTAGCTTCCTTGCATTGGGTTAGAACATGCTCCTTTAGCTCGGAGGAGTTTGTTATTACCCACCTTCTGAAGCCTACTTCTGTCAATTCATCAAATTCATTCTTTGTCCAGTTTTGTTCCTTGCTGGTGAGGAGTTGTGATCCTTTGGAGGAGAAGAGGCATTCTGGTTTTTGGAATTTTCAGCCTTTTTGTGCTGGTTTGCCTCATCTTCGTGGATTTATTTACCTTTGGTCTTTGATGTAGTTGACCTTCAGATGGAGTTTTTGTGTGGACATCCTTTTTGTTGATGTTGATGCTATTCCTTTCTGTTTGTTAGTTTTCCTTCTAACAGTCAGGTCCCTCTGCTGCAGATCTGCTGCCGTTTGCTGGCAGTCCACTCCAGACCCTGTTTGACTGGGTATCACCAGCGGAGGCTGCAGAACAGCAAAGATTGCTGGCTGTTCCTTCCTCTGGAAGTTTTGTCCCAGTGGGGCACCTGCCAGATGCAAGCCAGAGCTCTCCTGTATGAGGTGTCTGTCGACCCCTGCTGGGAGCTGTCTCCCAGTCAGGAGGCACAGGGATCAGGGACCCATTTGAGGAGGCAGTCTGTCCCTTAGCAGAGCTCAAGTGCTGTGCTGGGAGATCTGCTGCTCTCTTCAGAGCCAGCAGGCAGGAACATTTAACTCTGCTGAAGCTGCACCCACAGCCACCCCTTTCCCCAGGTGCTCTGTCCTAGGGTGATGGGAGCTTTATCTATCACATTTTTGTTATTATTTTGTGGTATTCTAAAGGGCAAGTCTTTTTATCATTAAATTCTTAGAACTTACTTTTGAGGACTTCTTTGGAAAATCAAAGGCATAAACGGTATTTTTCTGGATTGTTAAAAACCTTGACATTTTGAATGTTGTCAACTTTTCTTGAAGGATTATTAGGCGAAGACTTTTCTAGAACTGATTTCTTTTCTCCTAGGACTATCACATATCCTATCTTTGAGAAACATCTTCAGTAAAGAACCATTTGTCTTCAATAACTTTTAGATCTTGACATGTTTTAATTGCAGTTCATCAACCTTGCATTGATTGTCTTATGGCCTAAGGCTGAACTCCTCTATCAGCCTTGCAGAGAGAACATCTCAGGAATTCAGCATGGAATGGTAATACTTGTCTTGTGGATTATCATATTACAAATTTGCCTTCCTTTGCATTATTCGCACTTCTACACTTCACACTTGAATGACTTGTATACGGTCATTTTAGCAGACAGTTATATGCACACAGGTTGTATTTATGCATATATGAATGTCTAAGCATCCATACAAACTACAAAAACTGCAGTCAGTTATCCAGAGGCTTTGTCTGCAAGAGGCCAAACATGCAGTAGTTCACCATTACTACTTCTTCCCCAGTGTTTGAAACTGTGAGGCAATATCAAGACCACACAGTTCTTAGGGAGATTGAATCTCATAGCTCCAGTCCACCAATATTATGCGGGGACTGTTATAGATTGAAGCATATTCTCTCAAGGTTTGTATGTTGAAGTACCCCAGTACCTCACAATATGACCTTATTTGGAAAAAGTGTCCTTGCAGATGTAACTAGTTGAGATGAGGTCACAGTGGGATAGGGTGGAGCTCTAATATGACTCATGTCCTTATAAAATGGGGAGATTTGGACACACACACACCACACACACACACACACACACACACACACACACACACACACAGAGAACACCATGTGAAGATGAAGGCAGAGGCAGAGATGGGGTAATGCTTTTACAGGACAAAGAATGCCAAAGATTGCCAATAGACCACCAGAAGCTAGGCAAGAAGTGTGGAACAGCTTTTCCCTCACAGGTTTTAGAAGGAACCAACCTGGCCAACACCTTGATCTCTCAGACTTATATGCTCTAGACCAATGAGAGAATACCTTGCTTTTATTTAAGCCACCCAGTTTGTGATCCTTTGTTATATGACCTAATTTCAATGACCCCCATTTCAGTTGGTCCACCAGGACTAATCAAGTCTCCAAACCTTTTAATTAAGAAAAATTCACCCACATAACAGCTCACTGATTGGAATTTTCAGCTTCCCTCTTGCCTGTGACACTCAGTACCTCCTCTTCGTCTTATGGTACCTGTATTTATTCCACTTCAGCTCTTTCCACACCTGCTCTGTCCTACTACTTCTCCTTCTTGTCCTCTGCGAGTTTCTGCATTATACTTTGCAAAAGCCCTTCAATCTTCTCTGAGTATTTCTTCTGCTTTTTCCATTTCAAATAAATACTGGTGTTTTTATCCTCACTATTGGAATATATATATTTTGAAATCCATTAGCATGAAATAATGTTCTGTGGGTCTGGAAGGTCTTTCTCCACTTTCTTCTTTTCCCTCATGCCTACTGCTTCTGTTCTTCCCTTTCATGATCTCCAAGTCATAGACTCCCCACTATTGTCTAGGCCATCCATGTGACTTGTGTTACGTGACTTTGTGCATTCACTTGCGTTCTTAACCATGCCAGACTTCTTGGTATGTCTCTTCAATATTTTTTGTGGCATCCTAAAATTCTTTGCAGTCTTGACTTTGTGACATGTTGTAATTAATGATAACTTTAATCACATTGCCTGTTTCTCTGTTCTAACTTTGTTGAATAAAGTGACAAAATGGCACTGTTGGGTCCCATATCCTCTCATGTTATCAATCTCAGCTGGGCCCTTGCTATTGCAGAGCTGTTACGGCATTTCTATTCAGTTCTATTTTCCTGTCTACCAAATATGACTTAGGTCCTGGTAGATTATTTTTTCTTCCAGACTGGTGAAGTTGAGGCTACATGACATAGCGCCCTTAGTGTCTAAAGATGGAAATCATTGCATTCCTTCCACAACAAAAACAACAACAACAAAAACCCACCTCTGCTCTTTGTATTCCTCATAATTATCTATGCAGTCAGCCCTTGCAAGCCTTCAAATTTGAACCCAAATTTACTTTCTGAAAATATTTTCAACATATATATTGGACTACAATTTAAATAGAATATAAGCCATACCCCAAATATGCTTTAAATTTTCCCAGCTTCATGCCTCTACTATTTCATTCTTCTGAATGCTGCTATTTTTTACTCCCAATTTTGCCTATATCAAATAATTTCCTAGACCCAACTCAAATGCTACGTTTCCATCAAGCTACTCCTGATCTCCCGGCTGGTTATAATTTTTTTTCCCTTTTATGACATAGTTCCTATAAGTACTATAACAATTATATTATTATTATAATGTACACATTCACCTTTGCTATGTTAATTGATTCTAAGCTTCTTTGTGGAAGGCATACAATCTTATTATTCTTTCTATCTCCTATTCTTCTATGTTCCCTACATGTAATATAAAATAAATGGGTTAAATAAATAAATAATTTTAGAATGACTTTTGAGTAGTTATAGCCAAATAAGTATGTGCATACTTAATTTTTCATTCAGATATCTGGAGATATTTAAGCATAGTAATCTCAGCATTGAAATGTCATTTTTTAAAAAAGAGATGATAGAATAATATTTTAAAACAAAGCAAAACCCAAACCCAAACCAAGCAAACACAAAAACACTATGGAATCTAACACATGCAGCTCAACATTTTATAACTATTGTGCTTTAGTTTTCCTTACTGTAAAGGATTTCCTAATTCAAAGGAAAATTTTGAGGATAAATGAGAAAACAGGTCTGTGTCTTTCTCTGTATGTAGGTGAGTAAAGGTGCACAAATCTGCCAAAAGTGTGTACTTTTTTGGTGTGTTTTTCTAGGATACATTTTGTAGATTTACTCTGAATACCATTTATTGTTTCCCAGACGATTTTCAATGTAGGCATTCTTTGCCTTCATTCTGTCTGCATCTAGATGCGCTCCCATAATTCTGAAAAATGCAAATACAAAGCCAGGAGGATAAATTCTGTACTTCTCTGTTCTGTAACCTCAAAAAAGCAACAATGCATAAAATGCTGTCACTTGGGAACACAAAAAGACATTCATGCTTAGCATTCTGTTCTACTTTTTTTAAAACACAGCGATGGCTGCTGTATCTAGTGCTTTACATATCTTTTCTAGGGTAGGCCTGAGAATTGCTAGTGTACCTCTCCCCACTTCATCCTAGCTCTCCTTAAGTCTTTCAATCCTTCTGCTTATAACTTCTCTCTTATTCTTGCTGCCTAATTGGGTTGAAAGATGGAATTAGAGGACCTATGAAGAAGTTTGTTTGGGTTGTAATACTTTTTATTTTTTTGTAGTCTTCGAGCCATACATTGTTGACATGATAACGACTTCTGTTGTTAATGAATACAGCATGTGCTTTTTGAGTTCCAGAAACCTAAATTTGAATTCCAGTTCCACCATTTATCCCCAGTGACTTTGAGCAAACTGATCAAACTCTCTCAACTTCAATTTTCTTATCTTTAAAAAGCAGACAATAACATTTGTTTTACAGGGGGGCTGTTGGGAGTTTTAGATAAAATTGTGTATGTAAAGCACGCAGCACAGTGCCTGGAACATAGTTGCTGCTTAATAATTGGTGGATATTATTCTGCTTCTACGTAGGGAACATATGATAACAATTTTCATTTAAATACTGCAATTTTAATTGACCATAAAGTCTGTTTTCATAATAGCGATGGTTCATAACTATGAACCAAGCTTACCCCATGTCTCCTCCACCACTTTGCCCTCCAACTCCAACTTACTTTTGGAAGATGCTTTCTTTAGGAAGATGGGGACATGCTTTTGATTTCATGGCCACTGCAAGTAGAGTGGGGAGGGGACAAAAATCTTTCTGTTCTAAACAGTTCTTATACAACTTCTCAATTTTCCACTGTCTTTTTGTCTTCTATCTCCCCAGGATATTAATGCTGAGAAAAAACTAACTTTAGTGCAACACACAGAAACAGCATCAACTATAAAGTTCTGGACAAAGAAAAATGTAATTTCTCCCACACCGAAGCCTTGGTTCCACTCAGGATTGGGCATCATCATAGACTTACCTCCTTGGAAGAGGAGAAGAGCTACTTAGTAACTCTCTTGAGAAAAATCTCAGATACCCTAATCTGTTTTACGAGGTGATTGACTCTATAAAATTTTCAGGAGAAGATTTTCTTTTTCACTTGTTAGAAATGAAGTTTTTGCAGGACAACTATGCTTCAAATCACTTAAGGGGGCACTATAGAGTTTTATACAGATTAAAAGTCAGAATCTGAAGGCCAAAAAAAGTCTCAGCCTGGTAAAAGGTTTTGTGATTAAAGACATAGAGGAATTGAGAACAAAATTTGAAAGATTTGGGGGTAAGGGGTATAGTTTCAAACTACCCAGCGTGGGGGTAAACCAAATTAAAAATACCTTTGTTCTCTTCTGGGCCTTCTAGTCACACTTGCTGTACCTGCCATGGTTTGAACATATCTCAAGTAGATATGATTTTGGAACGGAATTTCAAAAACTCAGCTTTCCAATAGAGCTTCCCATCACATTTTATAGGAGTAAAATGTGGCCACCAAACCTCAACTCATTATCCAGGGAATGTGACAAGCAAGGTTGGGCTCCAAGTCCTTACCAAGCACTGGATAAATATCATAAAATACATTAAAATTATCAGATCGTCATGTTATGTTAATTTAAATGGCAGATCTTTTTAGAAACCACTGTTTGAACCTATGTGTAATTAATCATTTAAAAAATAAATACTATCCATATATATTCTTATATATGTACAGAAAATACTTGAAAGGTAACCAAGAAACTGTTAAGAATGATTTCCATTGGGTTTTGGCTGAAAAAGAGAATTTTACTTTTTATTTTATACTCTTGTATTGTTTGACTTCTTACTCTGTCCCTGAATATATACACATACAAGTATACACTAGTTTATGAAAATTATGTACATAATATTGTCTGTAGTATAAATAAATTCAAAGCAAACATCATATATATTATATATCCCTGTTATTCAAAGTCTTCACTTACCCTACCTTGTGGGATATTTCAGACTATATAATGCTTTTGCTGCACATGTCACCCTGGTTTCTTTCTCCCTCTCTTTCTTTGTGGCTCATTCACTTTTGTTTACAAAATTTCTTTTTTGCCTCCTAATGTAGAACAGTTTACCTCTCTCTCTCTCTCTTTCTCTGTTTGAATAGGATTGACCCAACTTCAGATCTCATCTTCTTTAAGTGGCTTATTAAGTATTTTATTAAACAATAGATAAGTATTACCTCTAATAATAAAAATATATTTTTCAATAGAAAGGTTATGAATAGTTTTGTGGAAAGTGAAACATAAGAAGAGGCTTCTGGGCAGGGTGCAGCGGCTCATGCCTGTAATACCAACACATTGGGAGGCCGAGGTGGTTAGATCACCTGATGTAGGGAGTTTCAGACCAGCCTGACCAACATGGTGAAACCTCATCTCTACTAAAAAATACCAAAAATTAGCCAGGCATAGTGGTGGGGGCCTGTAATCCCAGCTACTCAGGAGGCTGAGGCAGGAGAATCACTTTAACTTGGGAGGCAGAGGTTGCAGTGAGCCCAGATCATGCCATTGCACTCCAGCCTGGGCAACAAGAGTGAAACTCTGTCTCAAAAAAAAAAAAAGGCTTCTGGAATATCAGAAGTTTTGTGGCAGCTGTGTTGGAGTCCAGGTTTGATGGTGCTAATTAGAGAAGAGAAGAACCACATCTTAGAAGAGCTGCTTTACTGGACAGAATATTAAATCAGGAACTCTAGCCCACAGGATAAGGCATACAACTAGTTACTGCAGCTAGAGTACAAATGGGTACAATTAGTCTTTAGAAATTTTTCAGAAACCCAGTTACTGATGCAAATTTATTATCAGGGTAAAAATTTTGTGATAAGAATCAGGAGCTAGCTCCTGTGTTTCCCAATCTTGGATGCAAATTGGAATCATGTGGGAAGCTTCGACATCCGTGAGTTCAGATTCCCACCCCAGATTCAGATTTAGTCTGTCTGGGGTGTAAGCTGGGTGTGGGGCTTACCTAGAAGTCTCTATTATTCAGCCAACATTTAGAACCACTGTGCCGGGATGAATTAGTGCCAAATCACCTAAGTGAGATGAATCTCAGAAGCTGAGACTGCAGATGAGTGTCCAGTGAGCTCAGCAGTGAGGAGGAGAGAGCTGGGGAGGTGAATGGGTAAGAGAGCCAGATACATTATTGAAACTGGGGGTAAGAGGGTCCAAATGTCTTCAACAGATTTTGAGCCTCATTAGAGGTGAACTGGAGTTAAGGCTAGAACCCAGACCACGTGTTCTCCCTCATTTTACCTCATCCTCTGTCAGTGCATCATACCATTTAGATTCAACAATCTCAGCTCTCTCCAAATCTCTATCACCTTCTTATAGCTACTGGTTGATCGTCCTTTCTCCTGTTTTGCTGTAATACCCTCATTTAGTTATATAAAGTGCTTCAAGAGTTCATATGCAACAGAGTGGAAATTAAGCTCAAGCAAGTGGTCAGAGTGAAGTATGGTAACACTTTTTCTTGGCTTTGACAGTTCTTACAAGATTAGGAAGAATAAATGCAAAAATTGCCATTAAAGCATCTTGTCCTTGGCTAAGGAATATGACACACCTTTATGGTCTTTGCATAATTATGTTTCCTAAAATGGTAATGTACATAAATTAGAAAGAAAAACAGCAAAAGACCAGAATTTATTTTTGTCCAATTGGCAAACTCTTCAGTTTTTACCTTTATGTATTTATAACTTAGCATTAAAAGATTTAGTGACTTATTTCACTTTTACTTTCCAGCAAAATAGTATGGAAAAGAGCCAAAATGGATATTTGATATTTTCATAACAAACAGAAATTTCATTAGACCATTAGGTTGATTATGTATATGAGATGTCTTCACAAAGTTCATAGAAAATGCATGTTATGAAAAAACTAGGCATAGATTTCATTTTCTTGCATCAAAATAAACTCTTACTCTTATAATGTATTATACCATATCTGAACAGAATCGAGTTTGAGGCACTAAGGTAAATAAAACATCAGTTTGAAAAGAGCCCCCTCTCAGAGCAACATTATTATGCTAAAATTGAGGCAAGAACAAACATTACATTTATGGTGAAGCTTGGATGTAAAAATGGCAAAATCATTGATGCTTTACAAAAATTTTGTGAGGACAATGCCCCAATGAAGTCAGCAGTTTACAAATGGATAACTCATTTTAGGAAGAGATGAGATGACATTAAAGATGAAGCCTGTAGTGGCCGATCATCCACATCAATTTGGGAAGAGAAAATGAATCTAATTTGTGTCCAGTTTGAAGCAGACTGATGATTAACAGCACAAACAGCAGTCAACACCGTAGATATCTCATTTGGTTCAGCTTACACAATCCTGACTGCAAAATTACAGTTGAGCAAACTTTCCATTTGATGGGTGCCAAGGCCATGGTGCCTGGATCAGCTGCAGACAAGAGCAGAGCTTTCCAGGGAAATTTCAAACAAGTAGCATCAAGAGCCTGAAGCCTTTCTTCAAAGAATCGTAACAGGAAATCAAACAGGGCTTTACCAGTGTGATTCTGAAGATAGAGCACAATCAAAGCAATGTCTACCAAGAGGTGAAGGTGGTCCAGGCAAAGCAAAAGCAGGCTGGTCCAGAGCAAAGGTAATGACAACAGTTTTTTGGGGATACTCAAGGCATTTTGCTGGTTGACTTTCTGGAGGGATAAAGAATGATATTATCTGCTTATTATGAGAATGTGTTGACACAGCTAAAATTTCAGCAGAAAAACACCCAGTAAAGCTTCGCTAGGAAGTTCCCACCTCCAACAATGCTCCTGCTCATTCTTCTTGTCAAATAAGGACAATTTCGCAAGAGTTTCAATCATTAGCATCAACCTTACCATCCTGATATGGCTCCTTCTGACTTCCTTTTGTTTTCTAATACTAAAAAATCTTTAAAGGACACCCATTTTTTTCAGTTAATAATGTAAAAAAGACTTTATTGACATGATTAACTTCCCAGGACCCACAGTTCTTTCAAAACGGACTACATGGCTGATATCATCACTTATAAGTGTCTTAAACATGATGGAGCTTATGTTGAGAAGTAAAGCTTATATTCTTATTTTTATGTTTTAATTCAATTTTTCCACAAACTTTTTGAAGTCCCCTCATACTTATGGTACTGTTTTTGTTGGAATGAATGTGCAGTGTTTTCCTGTTTCCTTACTGCCTCTTTAATTGCAAACTTTCCCAAGGTTGTGTAAATAGCTCAGTTACTTTTTATTTTAAAAAGATTAATAGCCATTATTTTATAGAATTGTATTTACGCGCATCCAATTAAATGATAATTTCCATTTTTGTTATTGAATACTTATCTATTATTTTCTGTCATTTAATGTGACCTTAGATTTCAAATTATTAGTTATTTTAAAATAAACGCTATGCACTGTTGGAATTGTCTTATCTTCTCCAAAAATTTAAATTGCTTTCTTAAATCTATTTTGAAGCACATAGAGCAAAATTGGTTACATGAAATTTGTGGTTTGCTTATTGGAATTAAATGCAGCTAACTAGTTACAGCACAATCTGCTGATTCCGTTCATGCTGGGTCTATGAATAGGAAGTATAAAATTTGTGTTAGATAAGAGTCAGTGGATTTAGTACCCATGAATGAAGCCAGGTTGGCAACCTTTGAATGATACCAGATGGACATAGGAGATTTTATTTTTTATTTTAATGGACAGAATAGAGAAGCAGGTGCTACAGGACTACTCTCAGGGTGCTGCAGGGAATTTGGCTCCCATTTCCATTCTAGACTTATTTTTTTGTTTGGAAACAGCTAAGGACTAGGGGTTGAAGGAAGAGGGGTGAATGACCACCAGATGGGAATTCCTGTGATATGAATTACTACTGTTAACTGTTACTGTCATGTTGTTAGGCTCACCATCAGGATTCTAATACTCAGCTACTTAAACTACTAGAGCTGTTAGAATCCATTCACTTAGCATCACTATATCTTAGAATAGAAAGGGATCTTAACAGTCCTGTATCCCAATACCTTGTTTTTACAAATGAGACAAAAGAAGCCTACAGAAGGGAAATTTGCCTAAAGCTGCGAGGCTAATTAGTGGGACATGTACAACCTGACTCCAGATTCTTGACTTTATCACTGGTGCCATCACACTGTATTGTCAGCTTCTTAACAAATATCATCTGTTAACATATCATTTGTTAACTACCCACCACCTCCATGTATGAACTTGTGAAACAAACAAACAAACAAAGAAATTCGCTGCCGTTGGCACTTTTGCATCTAAAGCAGCTCTTCCTTATTTGGTGCATCCTCTACTTGGGTTTCTACATAGACTTTCTTCTTTGGCAATTAGCATATTAGAAAGGAAAAATATTTGCAGCCTAATTTAAATATTCTAATTAACAGTCATTATTATTTTTAATATAATTCAATTGCATTACAAACATTGGAGAAAACAATTAAGGCAAACTGAGAGAAAGAAAAAAATCTGTCACAGTTATCACACTGCTGATCTCTTCTAGATCACTCCATATTGTGGCTACTTTCCTGGATTGAAAAAAGACATTCCTCTAGTTTCCTCATTTAGGTGGTATGGTAGCAGATACAGCAGTGTCTCTATAACCTAAAAGAAATGCTCTATATTAAATGATTAGAGCAGTGAAAATTCTGTCTCATCGCAACATTGCCGAATGACCAAACTATAGGATGTAAAATGAACAGAAAGGGAAATATGCATAAGTATGGAAATGTGTCTTGGTTTGTAGCCAGAGCTTTGCTAAACAAGTTTTAAGTGGTTAATATAAGTTTGTTATCCTTGCTTTCCCCTGAATTATTTCTATCAACAGCCACTCATTCTTGGCTTGATATCCTAGCCAGACTTGTTCTCAATTCTGCGTTGTTGGAACCATTTGGTCCTCTGGACAGGCTCTGTCCAGATTGCCTCAACTTCCTGTCCTTTCTCTTCCTAGGCCTCTCCCTCATGCCTTCATCACTTATCCCAACCTGACTGGGTTATATTAAGATCCGTCATGGTCAGAGCTGTCTCCAGGCAGGATTCAAGCCCTTCTCTTCTAGCTCAGTGTTGGCAGACTCTAGCCCCAGTTGACCCTGACTAATCATGTGGCCCTAACCAAAGACCCCTCTTTTAATAAAAATTAATTATTCAAAACAGAGGTAACAATCCAGAGTATATGCATTTGGGCTTTGGAGACAGGCAGATCTAGGTTTAAAATCCAGCTTCAATTCTTATTATCTGCCTGACAGTAGGCAAAATACTTTTCCTTTCTAAGTCTCAGTTTATGTATCTTAGAGTAGGGAGTGGATAAATTAGGTAATTAATGCAGCTAATTTTGAGAGAGTAAGCACCAAAATATGATGTTTATTATGGGGTGAGGCAGGACAGCATGGTGAGCAGGAGTTTGGGCTTACCAGGCAGGCAGACATATATTTGAATCCTGACACCAGATATCATTAATGAGTTATTTTCTTCTCAGAGCCTTGATGTTTTCCTCTGCAAAATGAGATTAATAATAGTGCTTTCTTCACAGAGGATTTAGTGAGATAATAGCTTTAACTCACTTGGAACTTTATGGTATATCTGGAGAGAAGAAGGAAGAAGGCAAGTTCACACTGCACTATATTGCCTCCCTCTGGATTCTTCACTGCCATGGTCTGCTCTTCCAGCAGAACTTGTGAACCTCCCAGAAGCCAAGTGCACTATTGGAGAATTGGAGGAAATCTGCACTCATTCATCCATCAACTTATTTATTATATATAAAATAAATGTATATTTTTATATAATAAATAAATAATATTATATATATATAATAATATATTTTATATATAATTCTGCACTCATTCATCCTACTTATTTATTATATATTATTATATATAATAAATTATTTATTATTATATATAATAAATTATTTATTATTTATTATTATATATAATAAATTATTTATTAATTATATATAATTATATATTTCATATATAATAAATAAGTTGATGGATGAATGAGTGCAGATATATATATATCTAACTATATACATATATATGTTTATATGTGTATATATATATGTAGTTAGCTGTTGTCATCCTTTCCTTGACTTCTGTGTGTTGGATTCTCAGAGCTGACAGTCAAGCCTGTCTTCAAAGACTCCTGGCTCTCATTGAGCAAGCTTAAAGTCCCAGAAATTTTCAGTCTTCCCTGTCCTGTTATGGTTACTGGTGTCATATCCTAAGGCCACTGAGCTCCTGAGCTTGTCCTCTCCACTTGTACCTAATTCACTAATTTTAGTGCAGAACATTTTGCCTTTAAACTAACACTCAACCCCATCTTCCAAACTTATTTCTCCCCTATTTTCTTCTTTCAAGTCCAAGTTCCTATGCCATCCAAAGTGACAATGAAGGTGTTCTAAATGGATGGGAAAATGCTAGAGAATATTTATCCAACCAGTGTATTCTGAGGACCTACCAGTTGCCAGGCACTGTAACAGGTTTTGTGGAAATCAGTGATGAATGAGATGGATGCGGCATTTGTCTCCAGAGGCCTTACAGTGAAGAGGAGAAGATGTAGACTAATGAAGTACTGTATGTCAATAATTTCTGTGGCAGGGAAAGAACATAGGATGTGCACCAGAATCCAGAATTGAGGGGTTAGGAATGGCTTCCTGGAAGAGCTATGTCTTAACCTAGAGAAACAGGTGGTTGGAAGTCAGTCTTCCAGACCAAAGCAAGTACAAAAGCTCTCAGTGAGGGAAGGGCATCACTTGTTCATGGTAATGGGAAACATTTAGCATGGCTGGAGAACGGAGTATAAACAGGGATTGAAAATAGATTAGGTGACAGAAGTACACAGCACCCAGGTTACAAGTAGTTTTATAAGCAATATCTAGGAGTTTAGATTTTATCCTAAGAACATTAGAAAGCCATTCAAGTTTTTTTTGTTTGTGTGTTTGTTTGTTTTTTGTTTTTTGTTTTTTTTTTTGAGACTGAGTCTCACTCTGTCACCCAGCCTGGAGTACAGTGGAGCGATCTCGGCTCACTGCAACCTCTGCCTCCTGGGTTCAGGCAATTCTCGTGCCTCAGCCTTCCAAGTAAGTGGGATTACAGGTGCCTGCTAACATGCCCAGCTAATTTTTCATATTTTTAGTAGAGATGGGGTTTCACCATGTTGGCCAGCCTGGTCTCAAACTCCTGACCTCAGTTGATCCACCCACCTTGGCCTCCCAAAGTGCTGGGATTACAGGCATGAGTCACTGCGCCCGGCCAATTCAAGGGTTTTTAATTGGGCAGAAACATCATCAAGTTTGGTTTCAGAAAGCTCATTTGGAAGAAGTACAGAAAACAGTTCGGAAGGAGGGCAATAGCAGACACAGTCCCTCCAGTTAGAAGGCTTCTGCAGTGATTCAAGTGAGCAATGAAGTGGCATGAGCCAGAGAAGGAGAGGAAATCTGCAATCATTCATGCATTCATTTATTCATTTGTTCAACAAATACGAATGGACTCTGTGCCAGGCACTGTGCTGGATTTTAGGGATTATATGGTGAATGGCAAAGACAGGGCCCAGCCTATCCCCAAAATTAGAAGAATATATTTTTTCAAGTGCTTATGGGTAAAAGTATACATTAAATTCTTATATTAGTAAAGAAGAAAGGTCACAATCAGTTATGTAAACCTCTACCTAAAGAAAATTTAAAAAAGAAGAACAAATTAAACCCAAAGTAAGCAGAAGTAACGAACTAATAAAGATAGGAGTAGGAATCAATGAAGTAGGAAACAGAATAACAATAAAGAAAGCCAATGAAACTGAAAGCTGGTTCTTTGAAAATACCAGTATCATTGATAAACCTCTAATCAAACTGAACAAAGAGAGACAGGGAGGGAGAAAGAAAGAAAGTGAGCACACAAATTCACATTTTCAGGAAAGAAAGGAGGAGGCCTGGCACAGTGGCTCACACCTGTAATCCCAGCACTTTGAGAGGTCAAGGTGGGTGGATCAACTGAGGTCAGGCGTTCGAGACTAGCCTGGCCAACATGGTGAAACCCCATCTCTACTAAAAATATGAAAAATTAGTTGGGTGTGGTGGTGGGTGCCTGTAATCCCAGCTACTTGGGAAGCTGAAGCAGGAGAATCGCTTGAATCCAGGAGGTGGAGGTTGCAGTGAGCCAACATCGTGCCATTGCACTCCAGCCTGGGCAACAAGAGCAAAACTCCACCTCAAAAAAAAGAAGTGTCATTAGATTTACCAGCCCTGATATTCTTGGTGACCTTAGGAATAGAAGTGGTGAAGGAAACAGGGCTGCCATGGATGGAAGAGTGACTAGAAGATGATGCTTGATTGGGAAGAGGTGAGAAGGCATTACAGCTGGAGGGAGATGTAGGATTGAGGAGTTTTTCATTGTTTATTTGAGGCAAGAGAATCATGAACATATTCAAATGCCAAATACAAGAAAGCAAAAGCCAGCAGAAGAGGAGAGGTTCAACTTCCAGGAGTGGGGTGGGGACAATTGATAGGACAAGGTCTCTCTGTAGTTTGAAAGAGGATGAGTTGGGCAGTGGGACCTTCTCAAATCGGTGATGTTACACATATATGATTTCTCAGTGTCCTTCTGGAGGTTACTTCTCTTGCCAGACAGGAATTTCAGGCCATATAGGAGATAATATATATTTTAGGAGAAAGAATTCTATGGTCCTTCAAGTAATACACTGCAGATGGTCATCTACTCTTTTTAAGATTAGCCTTAACTAGCAGTTATCCATATTACAAGCTGACCCCTTACCTGTAATGGTTCTACTCTCTATGCCTAGATCAAGAACATACCTTTTTGCTAGAGATGATAGGTTTTGAGGTGCAAGTCTTATAAAGCTGTAATTATTTCTATATTATCAAAGTTTTCCTTGCTTTTATTGTATGCTGTTAGCTTTTAGTTTCTGTCTCTATAGGTATTTGTTTCCTATAACCATAAATAAAACAATACGTGGATTCTTCTTCCGAAGTCCCCATTGGGTCTGAATCTGGAAGCATCACATATTCCATCCATCTAATTTGTTATTTCAGTCATTCTTTAACTCTCTTAAAATAATTACGTGATTCATTATTTTTCTTCCCAATGAAAAAAAATTCTCTTTAATCATTTTATGGCTTATATAGCTTTCAGGATATATGAACATATATAAATACACACACACACACACACACACACACACACACACACACACACCTGTTTAAAGTCGCTTCCCATAAAATGAAGGCTTTCTGTGCATAAAGTAGGTCCTTTATGCACATTTAGAACCTCTGTAACTTTATTCAGACCATTTTTTCAAACTATTAATGAAAGTAGGGATTATTGTTATTATATGGGTCCATTAAAAATCTAGTTAAAAAATTGTGCAGTGAATATAAATGAAAATTTCATTATATTAATCTTAGATTTAAAAGGCGTAGTTGAAACAATGAAAGAAACTGGCTGAGGATGAGAGCAGAGTTTTTCTCAGAGGTTGTTTGAGAATAATGAAACTGAGGTCCTGAAAGATTAGCTGACATTGGCAGGGTCACTCAGTGAGTTAGCGGCAGCATCAGAATTAGAATTCAGGTCTTCTGGCTCTTGGATAGAACTGTACTCTTTGTCCTGTTATGATAGGTGAAAAGACATATTTTTAAAATATGCCAGTTGTATTAGTCCGTTTTCATGCTGCTGATAAGATGTACCTGAGACTGGGTAATTTATAAAGGAAAGAGGCTTAATTGTACTTACAGTTCCACATGGCTGGAGAAGCCTCACAATCATGGGGGAAGGCAAGGAGGAGCAAGTCCTGTCTTACATGGATGGCAGCAGGCAAAGAGAGAGAGCTTGTGCACGGGAACTCCTCTTTATAAAACCATCAGACCTCAGGAGACTTATTTGCTATCACGAGAACAGCACAGGAAAGACCTGCCCCTATGATTCAGTTACGTCCCTCTAGGTCCCTCCCACAATATGCGGGCATTCAAAATGAGATTTGTGTGGGGACACAGCCAAACCATATCACTGGTGTAATCCATTTAAAAGTAAAAATATAAATAATACACATACATTTTTGGACACACAAAACCTATGAAGAGTTTAAACAACATTTTTTCCCCCATAGAACTTATTTGTTCCATGCTAATATACAAACCAAAGTGACCCATTAATTAGTAACATATAGAAACTGGGAGATGTAAATACTTTCAGAGAAGGCTTTCAGGATGGCCAGGAAAACAATACTTGTGTGCTCCTGAAATTTCACTGTATGTAATGACTTTGTAATTCCTTTTATTTCACTGAACCAATGTGATGTTCTATATTAAGAATTCAATCTGTTGTGATATTATTGCATAGGAATATTCATCAGATTCATAAGCTTAGACACGATTAAGTCCATTCTCTTCAGAGCCTTTCAGACTCCATTTTCCTATTAACTCATCCCTATTGTGGCATTTATACCTTAGAAATTACTTTTTATTTTGATAGACTTAAAAGAGCTGTTTTTATTATTCTTCCCATGGTGCCATTTATTTCATCAACAAGAATCATAACCTTCGTTTTGTGTTTTCTCTTCTGTTACTTTGGTTGATGTGTGAGACCTAGTCATTGAGTTCCTGAGGGTCGTGTGGGGTGGGTGGCTTTGCTTTTGTGGCCACTGATATGCCCTTCTGCGGGCTTCCATTCACACATGGATTTATCTAAGTCCCTTATGCCACAATAGCCTGGAAAAATCTTAATTTTATGGTAAATTATTTACAAAGAAGAGGCACCTAACAATTTCAAGTCTGTATAATGGTGACAAAGAAAAAGAAATAGGAAATTTCATTTTTTCAATGTGCCTTCTTCAAAAGTGAATGCAGTGTAATTGGATCTGAATTCCTTAAAAAAAGATGTTCATGAAAAGTTTTGAAATATAGAAATTCAAAGTAAAAGCAGTATCAATTTGTGCGAAACAGAAGAATAATTTAAAGTAAATTCAGTAGAGAAATGCTTATATTGGCAATGGTCATTCAAAACAGCCATTTGAATCTCTTGACCTAAAAAACAATTGCTGATGTGTTTGGCAGTGACTTGATGGAGGTAGGCTGATATTAGCCTTTAGCTCTTTTATAAAAGGAAGGCAGGTGAATTGCGGTCTGGAGAGATAGATAGTAGCCCCAGAGAAATAAAAGGTGTTCATAAATTTCTTCTGCTTGCTAATGAGCCCAATCTGTCTCTCATCTTACCTCTACTTCAGTGTCAGCTTGTTAAAGTTGCAAAACTTAAAAGTTACTTGACTATTGAAGGGGATTGATGCTACCAGTGGGTCACTCTCAGTCCTCCTGGATCCACAGTGTTGTACTATGCTCAGTGACCAGCACAAGAATCCAGTCCAGCCACAAGTCTGCTCTTATATGCTTCTCCAGCACTGACTGTATTTATGGAAAATGTGGCTTTGGCTTCAGGGTAGGTATTCCTAAGCTAAAAAATAAATCCATGCTGTCCATTTTTTGGCACCTTTCCTTGTGATTTAAAAACCAATGCAAATCAAATCAATAATAATTCATTTTCTTTTTACCAAATTTGGAATATACCAAATAACACAGTCCTAACAGATGAATACTCTTGCTATGTTGCTGAAACTTGACTTCTATCTGGAAGCCTGGGGAGTTGGTCAGCCAAATCACTTCATTGCATCACTGCACAAAACCACATCCCCACGTGGTTGGGAACTGCTGTAGGCTTAGAAGCCAAAGGTCTTGTTCCCCTATTTACATTTTTCTGTAAAATGCACTTTTATGATATAACTGGTCTTTTGCTTAAGTTAAGATGCCCAGAATCCAATCATTTTTAATAGAATAGAGCACTTGCTTTCCTGATTTGAGAAACAAGGTGTTTCAGGTATGAATATGTAGGGTGATTTTTATCTTTAATGATTAAAATCTAAAAGTGAGAGTTGGAACATTAGTTACAAAAATACTTTTTAAAAAGTTAAAATTGTTTTTGGAGTTGAGATAATCAGCTGTCCAGATTAATATGTATAATATAAGATACATATGTAGGCGGTGCATAAATATTTGTTGAATGAATGAATGAAAAGTGATTTACAACAATTGAAAAATCTTCTTTATGATCCCTTCTTCAGTATTCCAAACCACAACCAAGTTCAGCTAACTGAATAGAGAAAGACATTGAGTTTATAACCCTTTAACAAAATAAAAGGTTATAATTACTTGTCCCTGGCTCTAACAATTATTTAATTCTCTGAAGAAATTTTAAACTGAAGGTTTTAGTATAAAAAAGGCATTAGCTTTAAAAATGGGCTTATGTTCACCTAGAACTTAGAACATTTGCTTTTAAAAAAATAATTGTGAAATCAAGAAACCCAAATATCCAGTTTTATCACTGATAAATACCTAGGGTGTTCATGTCTCAGATAAACTAAGATTATAAGCCTTTCTTACTCCTATGTCCAACTGACACCCAAATTGTCCCCATTTATTATGACTTAAAATAACTATGATCATGATAACAATAATTCAATAAAAATAACAAGTGCCATTATACACCAAACTCAGCAGCATTTATGTTAACAGCCTGTAATCTATTTGAAATGAAACAAAATTATTCTAAAGTATGCTTAGATATATATTAAAAATTCAGTTGCTATTAGGTTAATATTCTTAGCACATGAAATGGAATATGAAATTATGGGCTCATATTCTTAATGATGTTTCAGAGGGATTTTTCAGTCACTGTATTTGAAACATCTGATAAAAATTGGGTTATTCTATAATACATTTTACAAATTTATTTCAGTTATTGGGAACATATATGGATCTTAAGGCAGTATTTTATACTTGATAAGCATTAATTCTTATTCTTGATCTTGTTCTCAGTAATCTAAATGTGCTAGTGTGGTTTAAAAAAATTCTACTACAGCTTAACTGATTGCTAAATGATGACATTTTTGAAGTTGCAATGAATTATCTATTAAATAGAGTCTAATTTAGGTCCTTATTGAAGCACAGATTAAGAGATATCCTTGATTAATAAAATGTGCCCCATCTGTGAATATCGTTCAATGTGAAAAATGTTCTAAAATAAAAATATGTCTTTTAAAAGTTGAACATATTGCTTCAATATTGCTTAGTGTGTTTATATGAAAATTGCAGCTATAAAGAAAATGTCATATAGTCTTTCTGATTCTGTAGGCCGTTTGTCTGAAACCAATCATAAGGGAGTGAGGTGACAAAGCATGAATAGTTCAGAATTCATCATCATTAAAGAAAACTTTAAAGTTCATTTTTCATTAAAATATTATAGTATATTCATTTATAAAGGGAAGAGGGGAGGCTTATGTAGATTGTAATTACAGATTTTCTCTCTTTCTCTCTCCTCCCTTACTGACCTCACCTGTTCTGGACATAATATTTGAATTAGCATCCCAACTGGGACAAGGACAAAGAGAGTGCTAGTAAAAGAGATAGAAAGATAGGACAATTCTTTGAATTAATATTTTTTCTCTTCTATCATATGTAAATAATATTTCTCCTTATTAAACATTTACTTATTGCTTAGTATTAAGCTAGTATACTTTGTGGGAATAGAAAGTAGGTAGAAGACAAGGCCCATGAGCTTACAATCTTACTAGAGAAATCTGAAGCTATTAGAGAACTCCATCTCATCATGTAAAGCCAAATACTGATTACATATAATTTCGGCATGCAGAAAATTGAGAAATTGATTTGTGGGTCAAAGTGATTAAAGACAAATGGGCGTATAGATTGAGTTGGATAGCTTGGGAGAGAAGGAGAAGTATGTATTTGTATGCTGGTAGAGGTATATATGTGTGTGTGTGTATTTATGGAATGGTGATAAAGAATGGAAAACAGAAAAGGATGAGAGAATGATCTGGATAGAGGAAAATAAAGCTGTATCATAAAGGATCTTACCAATGGGCCTTGAATTCAGTCCCAGATATATAATAGAGAGACACTGAAGTTTCTTAAACAGTGGGGTCAAATTCTAAACAACTTAAAAAACTGGCCTCATCCTTTGTTAAAAATTACTTTCAAACTTTTCAAACTCTCCTACTCATAATTTTTTTTCAAGTGTCACTGGTTCCTACCATTCTCTTATTTCTTTATGTAGCTTCTCTTTGGTGATTATGTATGTGGTACATCCTGGTTTCTGCTGCTAATGGTGAAATATATTTAACTATGTTTTTCTGCCTTCTGCCATGGAGAAGTATCTAAGGCAAGAAGCCGGGTCTCCTATTTCCTTTGTTATATTCCTCCTCATCCTTATGATGAACACATTATAATTGATCATGATTATCAATATAAGTATAGTTTTAGTTGGTTTAAAATAGAATGTTTCTCAGTTGAATATTTATGAGAATCTATTTTTTCATGTACATACAATTTGAATTGGTTTTAAAATTGTAACAGAGAGCAAATCTTTCTCAGTAAGACTCACTACGGTAGAAAATGTGTTTCTCTCTTCTTTTTTTTTTTCTTCCTGAAAATGACAGTTTTTTTATGCCCATGATGGAAACACAAAGCACTGGAGCTCATGCACTACAGACAATGCTCAAGACCTTCCAGGCATAACAAATAATAGCACCACAGAGAACACAGGTTCTTTCTGCATCGAGAAACTCAGTTGCATTTTATCTAGAAGCATTGATGGCAATAATTGTTCCAAATTTCCAATGCTCTGTGGGTGTATCAGGACTATCTAAAAATAGGAACACTTGTTTCTTTGAATTATAAATTCTAGGATGCACGACTATTTTCTCTACTATATTACCTACCAACTTTCTTATTTTTAATGGTAGCTAAAAAGTTACTACCATAAGACTATCTTTTCTAGTTAAAAGTCAACAAGCCACTAGATTAAAAATATGAAAAGGATGTTTCACAATAAATCATTTTAAAATATAAATCAGAAAGTATCAATAAAAATGTACTATTAATTATAGACATTTAAATCTAAACCTTGTGTGTAATTAAAAATAGTATACACTTTTGCACTGGGTTAAATTTAAAAGCCATTTTTAATGCATGTTAGGCATAGCAAAAAAATCTATAAAAAGAAAACTAGATTTATGTTCAGTTTGCAAGTCTGTAAGACTAAAACCCAAGCCAGTAGCAGGTTTGATCAAACGATTTATTGACAACCCTGTAGAACTCCTTGTATATAGTAGGTGCTTAGTAAGTATCCATTCAAAAATAGGTCCTTCTGTAATCGAAAACTGTGGTGATATTAAAACATATTCCTAAATTTTATGGTTTGTATGTTTGAAACAGAATCTTGAAACAGGTTTGATACCCTCTAAAAGAAATCCATGAACTATTTATAACATATTTATAATTGGAGATAGAACATAAAAAAATACAAGGAATAGAATACAAAGAAATAATGGGGCACAAATATCCATAATGTAGTCATCTGAAATGGAAGCAGAGCATCAAGTCTGTCTTATTAAAATTAAAAGCTCTATTATGAAGTTGGCACATGAATAAAGCAGAATACCAGTGAAAGAATATTTTAACGTGCTGTAGATATTCTCCAGTGCTGATATCAACAAGCAGGGATCACTTTGGGCCTACAACTTCTTAGGTAGAAACCTAGTTAGCTGGAGTCCTATACATAGGAAGTGGCTTTCAGTGGACCAGTGTCAGCTGTGGGAAGCTATGTTGATTCAGAATAGCCATATCACTTATATCCGGGGAATATCAGTGACCCAGATGGGCAAATCATAGATTTTTTTCAAGCCAGTGGAATATTAGAGCTCAACCCCTTCATTATACAGTTGAAGGGACTAAGAGGTCAAGTGAATTGATCTTGCCCTGTAGCTGATCAGCAGCTCACTGCCTAACATCCAGGCTGACAAGCTTTTCTTGACTGCGTAAGGTAATTAAATAGAAGCTATGTTTACTGAGACCACAGACAACACCAAGCTGGCATGGGAGGAAGACAGCAGCTATTATGTTAGAAGTTGGAACTACCTTGACACAAGAGTTCCTTTAACACTTATCTCACATATCTTCTTTATGGCACTTATCACGTTTGTCTCATAATTTGTTTATGTCTCTGTTGCTAGATGGTGAACTGAGAGGGCCAACCCACATACACAGTAAAAAATAAAATTTATTTAAGATGCCAGCAAGAGGTAAAGCAAGAGGTCAAATAAAAAGAAGGAAGTCCAGCCCAAGTGGAATGAAAGCAAGAGGTTCAAATGGCCAAAACAATAGCCTACAAAAATGCGGTGATGAATGACCAGGTGTGTTAACAGCTGACCACGAGTCAAGAGTTAGAAAAGTGGGAAGACCATGTGATGCACAAATACTAAGCAAACAGTACTTATGGGGTAATTCTGCCATTGTATTATCCATGAATTATCCCTTTACTATGTATAGCTACAAACACTAGTGTTATAGAAGGCTGTAGAGCAATTTCAGAGTAGGGAAAGAAGTGTAATTAGTTGGGACATGGACTGGGAATAATGGTCCTGGAAGGTGGACCTTTAAAGGGAGACTTGACAGACTCCAAGAAAAGACTGTACCCAGCCTGTGATAATCATCAACTTTAAATCTCCACTTTACATAGAATGTGACAAAATTGATTTAGTACTCCAGAATATGAGCCAGATGTAGGTAAAACTCCCCACCTGGTGTGAACTGTGTAACCCACTTTTAAAATCTAAGCAACGTTCTTCTGAAAAGTTATTTGAAAAATCAAATAGATTCTCCTGTTTCTGCAGTAATACAATCCTATATGAAGGCAGAGAGGGATATTAGAACTACTATTCTTTGCTTCCTTCAGATTCTCCTTGGGAAAGGAGAGAGAGAGCAGCAAGGTGGGGGTGAATTCTGAAGGCTGGGAGCTTTGTTTCTGCTCAGTCACTTCCGCTCCCATTAGTCTCTAACCTTGGCCAGCTATTTAAAAAGAACAAAAGAAAACAAAACAAAAAACAAAACAAAACCAGCAGTAGCAGCAGTAATAACAATAACAATAGCCAGAATTTACTGAAGTTCACAATGTGCTGGTTACTGTACTAAGTGATTTACAGCTATTCTTTGCCAACCTGCGCAAGTTACTTAACTTCTCTGTGCTTTAGTTTCTTCATTTGCGAAGTATAGATAATAATAGCATCTAATTACTGTGATAATCAACTGAGTTGATATATGAAAAGTGTTTAGAACAGAGCTTGATACATAGTAAGTACTTAATAAATAATAGTTATATTTTTATCTCATTTAATCTTCGAAGCAAATCTTAAAATGTTGCTACTACTTATTCCTCAATTTACAGATAAGCAAATTGAGACTCAAAGAGTTTAACTGATTTGCTTAAGACCATAGAGCTGGTAAGGGCCAGAATAAGGACTTAAACCTCCAAATGTCCCGCTTTTTAACTTCTACACCATGCTGGCCTTCCCAGTTCAGTACCTAAATCCCAGCCACACCACATAAACTTCTCTGATTAGTGAATCCCTATGTTGAACACATTATGAGCTTTCAAATCTCATTGCCTTTTGCTCACCTTGTTATTCCCTCTATCTGAAATGACTTTCTCAACTTTGTCAAGCAGATTAAATTAAAATTATCCTTCAAGACTGAGTTCAAGTGTCACCTTTTCTATCTCACCTTCCTGCTCCCACTTTCACAGAATTAATTGCTTGTTTGTGTTCCTTTAACACTTATCTCACATATCTTCTTTACAGCACTTATCACATCATCTCATAATTTGTTGATGTCTCTGCTGCTAGATGGTGAACTATGAGAGGGCCAGCCCCTCATACGCAGTAAAAAATGAAATTTATTTAAGATGTCAGACTCTGCTAAGGGCTTCACAAGGATGCACACTCCCTGAATCTTCTCAAAAACCCTAGGACATATGTACCATTGCAGTCCACTTTTTACTGATGAGGAATAGAAAGGTTAAATAACTTGCCCAAAATCACACATGCAGTAGATGCGCAATAAATGATTGTTGTACTGAATTGTGTCTAAGTAAAAATGCTTAAGAAAAATGTTCAAAAATTCCCTTTTTCACAGAAGAAAATGATCTTTTAACTTTTAAATTTTTGGATGAAAAAGAACAAACTCTTTTTTCATCTATTTAGTCAGATTTTTCCCCCTGAAAGCTATGAAAAGGAACAATTAACTTTAGCTAGTTCAAGCTCAAGTGTCAATTCAGCTTTAAAAATTATAATCACTTTTCCTTATATTGTAGGATTATAGTCATCTTCCTTATATTGTGGGATAATGAATGACTTGTTTCCTTATCCCATAATCTTGAATACCCTTATAAGTTAAATGTTACTTTATTGTCTGTCAAAACCACACAAACCAGGAAATGCATTACAGTATCAGTTTTAATATTTGTGTCAATAATCTATTATTTTCCAAACACAGAGAGAAGAAAAAGGAATTGCTTTCTGCCTCCAAGCTGAACTTGGAACCTAGGTCTTTCTGAGCACGATGTTGTCCTACGTCCCCAGAAGGAGCCAAGGAGGCAGCTATGAATGTCAGGTGTGAATAATTCAAAACCCCAAACCACCTGTGGCTTTGAGGCCTTTTTTTTTTTTTTTTTTTCAATTACTCAGAGGGAAACACAGTCTCCTTGATTTCCTCTGGGGACCTTTCAGGGAGCCAGTCCTTGTAATAACTGCCTGTTATGGTGAGAGGAAAACTGGCTTTAAAAGCCTTTTAACCCAAAGGGATTGAGCAGCTAATGGACATCATCCCTTTGGCAAAAAGGGATGATGTAAAACTCCTGCCCCATTTTAAAAACCAGGACTTGTTTATATAATCTTTTCATACAGTTAAAGCTTTTTTGGTTTTAATATATTATTTAGAGCCTGTTACATTGCAGCATAAGGCAAAAACAGTTATCAAAACAACAACAACAACAACAAAAACTTCTCTCTACGTTGCTCCAATTCAAATATGCCTTTAACTTATTTGACTGTTTTGACTGATGGCCAAAAAAGAAATTCCAGTCATTTGCAAATGTTATTTTCATTTTAACCACTATACAGACTAATTATGAATTTTTGCATCAAAACTGAGCAATTCTACCATTTTAATGTGGTGTAAAAAAAGTTTCTGAGGGAATTAGAAAACTCACAGATGCTGACATGCCCACAGTTGACAATAACAACAAAAAATTTCAGCAGTAAACAGTTCTTAGTATATCCTGCAATTTCCATTTAAAACATTTATAAGAGAATATTAACAAACATGAAAATGATATATTTTTGCATAGAAAAATAAACTCACAAGGTTTTAGAACCATAAATAACCCACAATTCTGGTTACCATCTACCTTGATTAATGTCTTTAGCCAGTATTTGAAACATCACCATTTATCATCTTAGCTTCTTTCTTTTCTTTTTAATATGAAATTAATGCAAACTGCTTTTGTTTTAATAATAATAATACAGTCTATGCTACATATGGCATGAAATAATGAAACCCAGTAAATTTATCCAATAGTGAATACACAGAAGTGAAGAGTTTTGGCTCTGTTTGCAACTGTCCTACAGTAATCCCAGGTGCAACCCAACTCATTATGACACAGTTTAGCTGAAAAATGTAATCTGTATGGTTATAAATCAGTTTCATTGTACTTACAATAGAAGTAAATTTTGGAGGCCAAACCAAGTTTTCAGCTGATAGGCGATTAGGGAGTTTTATTGTATTCCAATTAAGGAGCAAAAAAAAAACATTGACGGGGTGGCATGCTTTAATAATAAAAGATATGCACCCTGTTTCACAAGTTACTTGGGAGGGCCCCCGCAAGTCATCGTAAGATGCACACAAATAAGTCATTCCTTTGATTGCATTTTACCCACGCATTTTCATCCTATCTTGCAGGAACATGTGAGTATGTCAGAAAAGACACCTCCATGTCTCTTAAAGCAATTGAAATATCTCTGTTTTGGAAGTGGATAGTTGGGATATGAAGGGAACTTTGGAAGGGAAAATAGATTTTGCTGTTATTATGTAGATAGAATTAACTACATGGGAGCTGGTTCTAAAATACAACACGCTGATTCGTGTAAGTGTGGGTGAAAGGTTCCTGGTGCTTTGAATAGAATGAGGGGGTTCCCTCTCAGTTGAGGGAGTATGTATAATATATACGAGATCCCAAATAACACTGGGCAAAGATAGGTGATAAGGCACTGAAGTGAAAATGGAGAACAGTCCATTTATGGCCATTATGACCAAGTTCTTCTTAGGGAATTTTTACCATATTAACACTCACAACTCATTGCTACTATGTATTTATTGTTTCTTTCCCACTAGATTAAGAAATCTAAATGAGAGACTGTTCTGCTTTGTTTTCCACTATGCACTCAGCACCAAGCCCAGCACCCAGCACATATTTGTTGAAAAAGTAAATAAATGAACAAACAATTCAGGTAGCATCCATGGAAGTTGAGGCAAATGGATAAGTGGCCATATTTATGTGTTAACAATCATAAATCAGTTAACTTCTATAGACAATCCTGGTGAGAAATCCAACCAGCTGATATCTGCAAAAGATAATTCAGTCAATAGATTATCCTATCTACAAATAATTTTTTCATCTAATCACTGTGGTCAATTTTGTGTTATTTAAATGGGGTCTCTGTGGAGAAATGGGCAAGTTACTCACCTCTTTCTGCCTTGGTTAATACCTGCATAGGATTCCACAGTCACAGACTGAATGCCTAGCTTCAGCCAGGCATCTCACAGATAAATCTATTACATGCAAAATGAACCAGATGAAATAGTACAGACGTATCCACGCAAACATATCACCACTATTATGAAAAACAATTTAAAGGCCGTTCAGCTCAGATGTGTGCTCAGTCCAAGAGGGAGACACATTATTATTGATAATCAGTCTCACAGGGAAGTTGGACACCCCCTGCCCCGCTACAGTGGGGATGTATTTTTATGGATTAAAGATTAATTACATTAAATACTGAATTTTGGAATGAGTGCTAAAATAGATAATGTGATTTGGTCATTAAGACACTGAAGCAGGTTTTTATTTTGTATGATTACTACTGTTACCAGTTGAGTTACAAATGGCATTGATTCACTGAGGATGTGTCTTGTCAACTGCTTCCTGCTTGACCTGCAAATGCCAAGTTAGTCAGGAGTAGGCTTAAATAAAAGTCACTGCAGTTCAGCCTGACTTACTGATTACTGGGGCTGGTTTCTTACCAAAACTGTGGGAATCGGTTATTCCAAATAGCTAGGTGGAGTCAGGCAGCTTCACGTGGCCGTTGCTCTTGACTCCTCAGTCCCCAACTCTTAACCCATATCTGTTTTCTTGTCTATGCAATGGTGAACCTGTTCTCTCTGGCCTTAAGATTATTGCTGAATTTTTTACTGATTGCTGGTGATATTTGAACCTCTAAGCAGAGTTAGTTATTATCATCATTGCAATTACGTTTCTACTATAAATTTTTTTGAGTTACAATCACAATGTTATCAGAACATCTTTTGATAACATTTCCTTTATTTTAGATAATGATTTCAGTACCAAGGAGACTTTATTGCTAGATCCAACTCACTGTTGTGCATTAAATTTTGTCTCAGATCTAATCAACTTTGGTGTAAAGTAAAAATGAGGTCAGAATGCTCACTAATTCATGGCTTGAGCTGTCCTTATAAGAGCAAAACTGAATAGTTGCATATATCATTGAAACATTTCATTGATTTATTTTCCTTATTTATATTGATATTCTCTTTACAGAAGTACTATAGCAATATGGAATTCTGTGTTATTAGATTCCTAATCTTAATTATCAAATACCAAAAAAAAATAAACTTCACAAAAACCAACCAATAAACAAAACAACAGAAAGCAAACAAAAATAATAACTTTTTCTAGTTTTGTCATAATGTTAGTGTAAACCATTCTTCTTACAAGTTGTATATTTAGAACCCCAAATTTCTATGGTACTATGCTCCAAATTAAAGTGTGATGTTTATATTAAAATTCTGAGCCAATTAACTAAGCAGGTACACATCTCTAAATACTACTGGCATTTAAGAATAATAGAGGGATGATTATAATAAACTACCAAATAATGCTTTTACAGATAATATTATGTCAGTTTATCAGCATTATGTTGATTATCATTCATACATTTCCAGTCTGGAATGTAGTAGCTACAAGAATCAAAAAGCAAAACCATAATAAAGCTAGTCTTCCTAGTTTGTGCTTGCCTCCCAAATTAAAAAAAAAGTTGTTATGTGCCAAAAATGTAAAACTTATTTCAAGAAAATTAACAGGCTACACGGGTAAATTTTGGCAAATGCAACTTTATATTGAAGTTCACACATCTGTATCTTAAAGAATGAGACTCACAGACTCTAATGTATTTCTAAAATACCAGAAATCATAATATAAGCTTTCACAAGTTAAAACTGAAATAATTTAAATTACCAATACACTGAATGTGCAGAAAGTATAAACAAGACTGTGCCTTCAGTAGAATAAATGCTTCACAAATTGTGCAGGATGTCATACTAAGGCTGTGGTCTCCCCTTGACAGCTGACTTAAAATATAAACATACATCAACTGCCTGCTTCTTAGAACAGTTTAGAAAGGGTAGCACACCGTAGAAGAAAATCTCATTATTTCAGTGATGTGCACTTTAAGTTTCAAACCATGTGAGAAAAAAGGAAAAAGTAATAAATGATCTTCCATGCACTTTTAGATGCATGACCATGACCAGTTACTGATTTGATTTCCCTTGGCTATTTGCTCCAGTGCTAAATAAGATGAAGGATACTAGATAACCCTTTAAGGCAACATGTATTTATTCTGCATTATTAGAACTGCTCAGTTGTGACAGGCTGGTACCATTAATGTTGCCTCCCAGACCAATATCTAGCATTTGTAAAATATAAATGAATTGGAAAAACTTTATACCAAATCAACAAAAACCACATAATACAGTTCAATGCTAGCAATCTTACTAGTAGATGAGGAAAGTGGTATTTAGAAATAGCAATGTATTAATACAAAAAAAGTAAACTCTAATTGGAACCAATATACTGCTTTGGAATGCTCCCCAGAACTTACAAGGCGGTTTTTAAAGTGTGATATTCCAATAATTCATTGGCACGTCTTTAGTGGATTACAGTACTTTAAGTCCCCAAATATTTTAGTCTTTGCAAAACAATAGTAGTATGAAATGTTTTAAAGTCTTCAAACTTCTAAAATTAGTTTTTATCAACACATTTACCTCATGTCAACTTAATTTATTAAGATGTCCAATGCTAATTGTTTTTTGATGTTTTTTCATATGTAGTGACATACAGAGCATTTAGCACTGATACTTAGCACCTGCTACTTTCATTATCTAGTTTTTGACCACATAAAGAAACTTAGGGCAGTGGTTCAGTCCCTTCTTAATTACAAACCTTTGCTGGCAGTCAGCAGGATCACTCTGAGATTTAAAATAGGATTATAGGTGAACTATTGCAAAGACTGCAGAATGTTGCCCAAATCCTTAAAACTGCTGATTCCATTCTTGAATTTCTTCTCAAAATATGGCTATGGGCCACAATTGCTCAGCAGAGAAGGTTAGTTTTCACAAGGCTAAAGATTTACAGATGCTCCCTCATATAACACAGTAAGGTTCCCTTGGTAACCTGGATTTTCTGCAGTAAAGAAGGGTTGTGCTGAAACAGCGCCTCAGCTCCCTGTTTGAGAAAATGCAGACAAAAGGATTGATTCCTGCTTGGGCAAAACTCATCCAGACAGCAGCTGTTAGAAATCCCCCTGGTACTACAGGCCCTCTTGCAAAAACTCTCCAATAACAGGCCACCAGGTAGGGGCCCCACAAGGTTAGAAACAGAAAAGTCATTATATAGAACATTCTGCTGATTCTTTTCTCCATTTTGAACTCGTCTAAGACCAATAGCCTTCTTCTGCCTGTGGTGTTTGCATTTTGCCTGATGCCCAGCAAGGTGGGTGGTGTGGGACCCCTTCCAAATCCTGCTAGCCAATTGGCAGCTGCCTGGCCACTGGCTCCAGGACCATGAAAAGTCCAGTTCTGGCTGACTGCTGCTACAAACTGGACTGGCTTCATTTTTCTTCGATCGTGGACGAAAAATATCAGCTTGAGGTAGACAAGCTGTGTGGCTAGGAGGATGAGAGCAAGAAGCAGCATAAATCCTAAGGAATCATTAGCCCTGAAGGAGCGGTGTTGGAAGGTGCATTGATCTTCCTCCCTAATGAATGAGTAAGTGCCCACGTCTAAAACCGGGGGAAATGCCATGGCCACAGACAGAGTCCACACCATACAGATCACAGCCAGACACGTCCAAAAGGTCAGCCTCTTTGTATAGAAGCGGTGATGGGCGATAGCTAAATATCTGGTGACACTGATGCAGAAGAGCATGAAAGCAGTGTGGAAACAGGACAAAACCCCCAGAAAGGCAATCACTTTGCAAGTCAGAGTCCCATAAGTCCAGGTAGAACCATTTTTGACAGAGTTGAACACAAATGGGAAACAAATTGCAGATCTGAGGATATCTGAACAGCAAAGATCCAACAGGAAGTAGTAAGGTGCTCTATGCAAGGTCTTATCTTTCACTAGCAAAATGGAGATCAGGAGGTTGCCCACCACGCTGACTCCTATTATGAAACCCAAGGAAGTCAGTTTCAGAAAGGCTGTTAGAGGCGAGAGATTTTGCAAAATGTTGTCAGCTGCATGGCTATAGTTCGCCATAGATGGATGGAGGATAAGGATACAGCCTCAGTCAAGTCTCATGATCTAGATATAAGAACAAGGAAAAGATAGATCCATACATTTTACTGAAAATATAATCCACAAAGAGAACTGATCTGATCTGCAGTCATGCTTCCTCTTTTCTTCCACTTGTTTTGCCATCAGAATATCTGAAAAAAAAAAAAAAAAAAACCTATCAGTTCTTAAGTTAACAAGCAATGATGTCAGACAGTGCTAACAAAGCTGTTCACTTATGGGGAAGCAAATAAAGTTTTAATTTTGAATACTAATATTTGCTTTACTAAATATTTTTGCTCGAGATTTCAGAGAATTGGCTTGTTTAGTTTTTCAAGCTAAGTGAATTTTAAAATGTCCCTATTTTGGACAATATACATTTGATAGGGTAACTTTAGGAGAGAAGGAATAAAATGTCCCATTCTTGTAAAATATGCCAGTCCAGGAATTAACCACTAGAATTGCAATGGAATCTACAAGATTGCTATTAGGAGGCAGAGACACTACCTACATTTATTTGAGATCTATTAGTATCTGTCAGTGTTTCACAGGCAGCTTCTCTGTTTGATGTGGGTCCAAAGAACCCGTGCAAAATATATCTTAAGTGCCACTATTCATGCTGCATAAGAGTATTTGTTGATTCATCTTAAAGCAAAATTTCAAAATTAACTTCAAAATTAATAGGAACTTACTTGTCCCAAGATTTGATGTGATTTAATCATTTGTCTTTCCCTCTCCACCCTACCCCCCATTTCTGGCAAATCTTTTAAGCCCACATGATTATTAAAATGGTTAATGTAAATATTGGACAGGGAAACACACCCAGAGGAATAATGCACTTCCATTTGTAAACCTTGGCTGCCTGGATTCAAATGAATATAACATGAACCTGTATTTCTTGGGCAATTAAGCCTTTCCCATTTACACTGATAACCTTTGTTGCAAATCACAAGTGGCTGCTTTTTAAAACAAAATGCACATTGTCTCGCAGGTGCCTGGACCACACCAGGGAAATCGGCTTCCTCTGTTATTCCCACCAAGCGTGTTTCTTTTGCCACTTCTCACTGGCCCGGAATATGCTGGTGGAAGCCCAGGCAAAACTGCGTTCGATGATTTTAATTTCCCCACCGGTACATCCTCGGGTAAATACCGATCGCATCATGCAACATTACGAAACCTGAAATCCGCCACCCCTGGATTTATAATGGGGGGAGGGTGGAGGAGGGGGAGAGGGAGAGAGACATGCATTACATACGCGAAGATGGGGAGAGAGATTGCTTCTGTGCTGCAAAGGAACCGTTCCCGGTGATTCGCAGTCTGATATTCCTCAGTCTTGTAAGGCTTTCCAGAAATGGAGCTCTCAGTAAGCCCTACTGAAGATGCATTGTCTGAATGTACTTCCATTATGCAGTTTATTGTCACAAAACACATACACACACACACACACACACACACACAGAGACACACACACACACACACACACACACAACCTGAGGGAGGGCTCTTTCTCGGTGAACCTGCAGTTTCATCAACACTGTGCATTCCCCCACATCCCCCAAACTTAACCAAGAGTATATCCTCCTACCTGTTGGTGTTGGATATCCCGACAGACTATAGCTTCTTTCTATAAATTGCTGATTTTTTTCTTTTTTTCTTTTTCTTTTTTTTTTTTTTTTTTTTGTTTTTTGTTTTTTTTTTTTTTTTTTTTGCCTTAGTGCCTTGACTGAGCATCCAGGCAGGGCTCGGCGGCGCCTGCGCGCTGGAGCCTCCTTGAGCTCCAGCCGCGTCCTCCCCTGTCGCAGCGGCACCGTCTCCCCCAGTAACGCAGGGGCCGCGGCGGCGGCGGCTGCGGTGGCGAGGGCGGCGGCGGGGCTGCTTCAGCCTCTGTGGAACCAGCAGGAACCCCTACCTGACTCCAGAGCTGGCTGGGTTTATTGACTGCCCTGTCCAATCCAACTGGCAGCATTAAGCTTTTGTCCCTTCGTGGCTGCTTCTGAACTTTTCCCTCCCCGCATTTGTAGTGGGGGGCTGGAAAGGCCCTTTCAGGACCTCAGGCCCATCCTCTTCCCAAAGGCAGCGCACGAGGAAGTCACAGTGCCCGTGACGCCCGCCCCCTCCCTCAGCTTCCCGGAACCCTAACCTTCCCCAGACACTTTCTTCCCTTTTCTTTTAGGGTGGTCCAAACCACCGGAGGCTTCTTTTATATATTTATTTTTAAGTGATGTCTCCAGCTAACCTTTAAATTTGCAGGTTAGCTGGAAAAAGACAAGAAAAGAATGGGAAAAAAGAAAAAAAGTTATTTATTTATTTATTTATCTTTTTCCCACAGTTAAAAATCTTTTCAATGGGGAAGAAGGGAAGGCACGTTAGGGCAGCTCTCTCTTTGTTAGTCATCTTCTATTCTCCAATGCACGCAAATATGCGTAAAAGTAGGGAGAAAGCTAAGTTCAGAGGACAACTACAATATGATTTACATTCAGTCTACCTTAAAGGATGTCACTAAAGAATCAGGCTTATAAAATGTTTAAATGGCTATTCCTGGCATTCCACCCCACCAAGCAACAGTATTCCTTTTCCCTTCTTACAAGTTCCGCTGACCAATGATGGGTGATGTCAAAGCAGTTATGTGTACGAGTTTCCTTTTTTCCCCTTTGTTATTACAGATGAAAAATACTAGAAATATAACAAATACGTAAAACTTACACCAGTCCAAACGGTCGGATGATACCACAGACACCACAAAGCCTGACACGTGGGTGCTTAGGAATGCCTCTAGAATCATGCATTTTCTTATTTTACCATTTCCGAAGAGTTTTGTTTGTGGAGGTGATATAAAATTTTAAGCAACAACTTCCCAGTTCTCCTACCCAAAACTAGCAGACACGCTTTCATTAATTCCCAATGTAAAACGTCTGCTTCTTTTTCTGCATGCTTTTTGCTTTATAATAATCTGTTAATGAAACAAAAAATAAAAATCTTCTCTACAGTAATAATCTGATCTTGAGACAGCAGTAAAATACCTCATTGCTGGGTGGTGAGATTGTGACATTCAGGGGAACTCAGGCCAATCAGCATACAGATAATATGGGTTAATTTACATACTGTATTTCTATTGGATGAGCCGAGGTAAAGCCTTATCTTGATGTCACAGTCGTTACACAAAGCCCTATGTTGGTAATACTGAAATGATGTTAAATTTCCCTGATTTGTTCTTGAATTTCCTACGTCCATTTAAATACATGGATAATAGTTTGTTTTTTTCGAAAAGAATATACACAAGGCACTAAACTTTGGCATTCCCTTAACCTAGAAAAATCAATCCTACAGCCATGCTGGAAGTAACTTGAGGGCATTTCCATTCAAATAAAACATTCCACTTTTTGCAAAGCAAATGAATTCAAAACTCAAAACCATGTGGTGGTTTGCAACTTCTAAGTAAAATGTCAAATTCGTTTTTATGAAACTACAAATCACTTCAACTTGTGCTTTTTTGCTTCCCAATAAATGCTTCAATGTACTTTGCAAAGAGTTATTTCCTGAATTTTTACAGTTTTAAAAAATGTATGGAATAAGAGGCTTAAGTTTGCTGAAGATTCATGATTGGTCAGATGTTAGGTTGTACAGATTAGGGAAAAGCTATTTTAAAGTAAATTAAAAGAGTCACTGCACTGCCAGGCCATGAAGCAGTAATATACTCTGCCAAAAGTTATAGGGCCAAGATCCAAGGGTTTTAACTAGTCTTATTCTTTAAGCAGATATTGATTCCTTAAAAATAAGGGAGAGGGTATATGTGTATGCAATATTCTTTCATATCCACATCTCAGGGTATAGTAAAGCTATTTTTTTCCTTTGCAGTTGAGCACAGTTACATCCACTAATTCTTCAGCTTTTCCAGCTGTTGGATAAGAATGTCATTTTCTTGCCTCACAAGGGGACTCAAGAAATTAATGAGATATTTTCTATCTAGCTCATTAACTCTACTGGAGAAAACATTGGAAGCTACATCTTTCATCAGCAGGGCTTTAAAAAATATGTTTAATAGCTGACAAAAGTTTCATATCATCTACAAGTTCTCAAATGTAAAGTTATTGCTTCAAATTGTTTAGATCATAGGCTTAGTTGGTCTTAACTAATTTCTTTTTTTTTTATCCCCTACATCACCAAACCCAGAAAATTTGATTTTCAGGTTAAGAGTAAAAGAACAAAGCAAATACAACAAAACTATATGCTCTAATCCTTGGGTTTGAAGGGTTCTGAAGATTTACAAACTGTTGGAATATTACATGTACTATATTGATCAGTGTATTAGGAAAACTGATATAATTTGCTTAATTTGGTTCTTATAAAAAGTACATACCATTTTATTTTAAAAACCAATGACCTTGCTTTCAAAATTAATCTATTTCAGATTTTTGCCAACTGATGCATAGTATCATGATCAGCAAAAACAGTGTTTTTTTCTGTGCATTGTTTACATGAAAGTGTGTGTCAGGAAATAACACTTGGTAATTGCAGAGAATAATAGACTAGAATAAACATTCTAAATAAAAGATTTTTAGTAATTCATTTCAAATGACATGTCTTCTGCTTAAAGCATAAAACGTGTGTCTTTGGTGCTCTCAACTGTTACCAAAATTTAAAGTTGTATATGAAAAAGAGCCTTTTTAAAGTTTTCTTTAAAACTTTAACTATCTTTTTGATGGGGTTGTTTGTTTTTTTCTTGTAAATTTGTTTGAGCTCATTGTAGATTCTGGATATTAGCCCTTTGTCAGATGAGTAGGTTGCGAAAATTTTCTCCCATTTTGTAGGTTGCCTGTTCACTCTGATGGTAGTGTCTTTTGCTGTGCAGAAGCTCTTTAGTTTAACTAGATCCCATTTGTCAATTTTGGCTTTTGTTGCCATTGCTTTTGGTGTTTTAGACATGAAGTCCTTGCCCATGCCTATGTCCTGAATGGTATTGCCTAGGTTTTCTTCTAGGGTTTTTATGGTTTTCGGTCTAACGTTTAAGTCTTTAATCCATCTTGAATTAATTTTTGTATAAGGTGTAAGGAAGGGATCCAGTTTCAGCTTTCTACATATGGCTGGTCAGTTTTCCCAGCACCATTTATTAAATAGAGAATCCTTTTCCCATTGCTTGTTTTTCTTAGGTTTGTCAAAGATCAGATAGTTGTAGATATGCGGCGTTATTTCTGAGGCGTCTGTTCTGTTCCATTGATCTATATCTCTGTTTTGGTACCAGTACCATGCTGTTTTGGTTACTGTAGCCTTGTAGTATAGTTTGAAGTCAGGTAGCTTGATGCCTCCAACTTTGTTCTTTCGGCTTAGGATTGACTTGGCGATGCGGGCTCTTTTTTGGTTCCATATGAACTTTAAAGTAGTTTTTTCCAATTCTGTGAAGAAAGTCATTGGTAGCTTGATGGGGATGGCATTGAATCTATAAATTACCTTGGGCAGTATGGTCATTTTCATGATATTGATTCTTCCTACCCATGAGCATGGAATGCTCTTCCATTTCTTTGTATCCTCTTTTATTTCATTGAACAGTGGTTTGTACTTCTCCTTGAAGAGGTCCTTCACATCCCTTGTAAGTTGGATTCCTAGGTATTTTATTCTCTTTGAAGCAATTGTGAATGGGAGTTCACTCATGATTTGGCTCTCTGTTTGTCTGTTATTTATGTATAAGAATGCTTGTGATTTTTGTACATTGATTTTGTATCCTGAGACTTTGCTGAAGTTGCTTATCAGCTTAAGGAGATTTTGGGCTGTGACAGTGGGGTTTTTTAGATATACAATCATGTCATCTGCAGACAGGGACAATTTGACTTCCTCTTTTCCTAATTGAATACCCTTTATTTCCTTCTCCTGCCTAATTGCCCTGGCCAGAACTTCCAACACTATGTTGAATAGGAGTGGTGAGAGAGGGCATCCCTGTCTTGTGCCAGTTTTCAAAGGGAATGCTTCCAGTTTTTGCATGAACAGACGCTTCTCAAAAGAAGACATTTATGTAGCCAAAAAACACATGAAAAAATGCTCACCATCATTGGCCATCAGAGAAATGCAAATCAAAACCACAATGAGATACCATCTCACACCAGTTCGAATGGCAATCATTAAAAAGTCAGGAAACAACAGGTGCTGGAGAGGATGTGGAGAAACAGGAACACTTTTACACTGTTGGTGGGACTGTAAACTAGTTCAACCATTGTGCAAGTCAGTGTGGTGATTCCTCAGGGATCTAGAACTAGAAATACCATTTGACCCAGCCATCCCATTACTGGGTATATACCCAAAGGACTATAAATCATGCTGCTATAAAGACACATGCACATGTATGTTTATTGCGGCACTATTCACAATAGCAAAGACTTGGAACCAACCCAAATGTCCAACAATGATAGACTGGATTTAGAAAATGTGGCACATATACACCATGGAATACTATGCAGCCATAAAAAATGATGAGTTCATGTCCTTTGTAGGGACATGAATGAAATTGGAAATCATCATTCTCAGTAAACTATCACAAGAACAAAAAACCAAACACCACATATTCTCACTCACAGGTGGGAATTGAACAATGAGAACACATGGACACAGGAAGGGGAACATCACACTCTGGGGACTGTTGTGGGGTGGGGGGAGGGGGGAGGGATAGCTTTAGGAGATATACCTAATGCTAAATGATGAGTTAATGGGTGCAGCACACCAGCATGGCACATGTATGCATATGTAACTAACCTGCACATTGTGCACATGTACCCTAAAACGTAAAGTATAATTAAAAAAAAAAAAAAGACTGGGAAAAAAAAAACTTTAGCTATCTTGGTAAGAAAGGCTCTCATTGGGGGTTTTTGCACAGAAACACTTTCTGATTGATTATTTAAAAAAAAATCACCAACCTGGAATAAGTGACCAATAGAAAGAGAGATTATACATCTCCCTTTTTTGATAATGGTTTTCATGTCTTAGTTGATAATGGTTTTCACATCTTAATTGCTGCAGAAAGTGACCTTTTTCACAGTGACATCTAAGTAACTGAAAGTTTTTAGGGCATTATATTCATCTCTTTGAGGAGCAGAATGGTGAAATAATATGCTAGACAAATCATGACTTGGGAGTTGGGAATAACTATAATTGTGAACATCCCAAACAGTGAAATTTTTTCAGAATGTTAATGAGTTTTTAAAAGATTAAAAATCTGGCATGTTTCTTTCCAAAATGCTAGAAGGTTCATTTGTTAGACTTTTCTCTCTGCTCTGCCCCATAACAGGTTCCAAAGTGTTAATGTAATTCATTTTTAATTTTAAAGTTAACTGCCAGGCTTTTGAAAACTCAGCAGTTTGCCTTTTCTTCTTCCCTTTATGTTGACAATTTCCTCCTCTCAGAAAACTTTAAGACTTGTTCCTTTGTTCAATTTATTTAACAAATATTTCTTGAGCTCCTCCTACTCTGTATGAGGCACTGTGCTAGACCTTGCAAGAAATAAGAAATCGGGAGGTAGGACCAGTTTACAGGTGGACACGTCACAGTAGGGAAAGCCTGAACTGATGGAAGTGGAGCAGGAAAAATGAAGAGAAGCAAAGTAAGAGGAGCCATATTTCTTATGGAGTAATTGGCTCAGGGAAGCAAAGGAGATCAAGGGGTAAGAACAGACTCTCAGGTTTGGAACTTGGAGAAGAACTGGGAGGCAGAAGACACCATTAACCAGAGGAAACAAAAGTTAAAAAGGAAGGAGCTGGTTTGGTAAGGAAAAGAGTGAGTTAATTTTAGACATGCTGAATGTGAAATGCTGGTGGAATATTCAAATGTTGATGTGTTATACTTAGTTGGAAGTGAAGAGCCCAAATTCAGAAAGTACTTATAGAGAAACTATTGGGCGGCATTGCCAAGGGAGAGATTGCTGAGAGAGAAGAAGGTTGAGGTTAAATAGATAAACAAGTATGCCCATTCCCCTCCATCTGAACAAACCAAAAAACAAAGAGAATGCCTACATATAAGAAACAGGAAGATCATGGAAGAACCAGACATAAAACAAACCAAAAGAGGAGGATCATCTATGTTATAGACCCTGAGGGAGGAGAGAATTTCAAAGAAGGAGTGGTCATCAGTGTCAGTTGTGACTCGGAGATTTAGAAGAAAAACACATAAGAAGATATCCTTGGATCTGGGGATGATGAAAATCATTAGCAATCTTTGAGAAAGCAGTTTCAGAAGAGAAAGTCAGACTATAAGGGATTAACAAGTGAGGGACACAGGCTTAAAGGCTTATGAGGTCAGGCTAAGAAACTATTTTGTCATTAATGACAGCACTGTCTCAGTGATAAAGGTTTGAGTGAATTCTCTTGATGTTTTATGAACAAAGTGATGGTTATTTAAATAAATACAGCATGGTTTCTTCTTCTGGAAGTCTTTAAGCTCTTTTTATATTACACATTACTGAAATGTGACCCTGTGAATGAGAAGAGCAAATGCAAGTTTTCCTACTAGTGCCTGGTAAAACTTTAGAGCTTAGAGGAAAAGCCCTTTTTCTGTTAAAATATTCTAAATTGTCTCATTCAGCTTTGCCTTTTTTTTTTTTAAGATGCGGTTAGCCTCAACCATGTAAAACAAAAAAGTGACCCCCACATGGGTATGTCATGGGTGTGAATGTGTGTGCATGTGAATGTATTGGAAGGGTAGGTGGGAAGAAGAAGCAAGTGTTGGTAAAATAATTAAGAAATAGGAAGTTAATTTAATATTGAGGTTAATGGAGAGTCACACATATCTTACATGCATTGTAAATTTTCATGAAATAAAAATGCAATATAATTTTTAAAACTCTAGAAGTATGAAGTATTTTTTCTTTGACTATTCAGAGGTTATCTCAGTCATACAGTGCATTAGGACCATTATTATGAGCATGTGTTATATGATATGAGCAGATTATGGTTATTTAAGCTTTTGTGGTGTTCAGCTTTTTGACAAATGAACGTAATTAAAACATGGCTGAAAGTAAAGGATCTAAGATAAGTAAAGTTATCTTAGACTCTAATTAAAGAGCTTCTCATATTGACTAACCAAACTTGCATTCTGTTTAGTCCTTCCACTTTCATTTCTCTTATTTTTTTTTAAACTTTACAACTTAACCCTATAAAATAAAAACAAAGACAAAACTAAAATTCCCACCCCTCATAAATATGGTTACTACTTTAATTTGGTTAACATTTGGTTAAAACAGAAGTATGCTATCATCTGTCTAATTTCACATTAAAAAGGACTATATTAAGAATAAGTCCTGGGGGTAGCATTATTTCATTCACTTAATGAATGTTCTAGACTCCATGAGAATATGAGCTCTATTATTTTGTCACTATTCATCCCTGGCACATCAAAGATACTGGATACATTTTTGTTCAATGGGAATTTATGACCCTACTACATAAAAAATGCTGTAGTAGGCACTGTTGGGGAGGATATAAAAGAGGAAGAAAGACAATGGCACAGGCTCCAACTGGACTCCATGTTTTTCTTAATTTCATAAGGTTGGGATAATTATTTGTATGATGGGCAGAAAGTTTTTTTGGCCAAAGATTTACTCTGGATTTGAGGGAATTTTGTTTGCTTTTTAGCCTTATTACATTAGCGTTTACATAATTCTTTATTTGCTTTACTACTCAGTAATTTTAAACCATTTTCTAATAAGTTAATGTCTGTCATGCAGATTATGAGCCAAGAGCAGATATTTTATGCCTTGAGCTCATAACCTGGTGCTCAAATAGATGACAAAATATCTGCAGCTTTTATCTGGCTTTGGACTTTAATTTGGATCATTAATTTTTTAATAGCCAAAAGGGTGGTGCATCCTGAAAAAAAGACCTTAATTTATCAGTACAGAAGTAAAAAGCTCAATAGTATAAAAATAAACTTTTAAATGATGGATACTTTCTGCTCTAATTTTGCCTGTGGATTATTAATAATTACCTATAGGACAGAAAGCAAAGGGGTTGAAACAGAAACTGGTTGTTTCTCAGAAAAAGACTGCAAGATGATGTTAATCTTGGGTAAAAATCAGGATTATAGTTTATTGCATTTTCTTTGTCCTCCTTTTAAAAGATATTCCTTCCCCTTCTTTACCAAGCATAAATTAGAGCTGAACATAAGAAGTTCTCATATAAAATAGTGCTTATTCATCTTACTAATTGAATATAATAAAAAAAAAGCTACCAGCCAAATCACTCTTTAAGTCCTCTAAGCTTGAACACAGTTCAGAGCTGATAATAAGATTTTCTAATCTCTGGAACAAGGAAGCACAGAACGAAACCTCCAACAATTCAAAACAGGGCGGCAGCAGCTCACTTTCAGAAGGTAGTAATGACTAGGGCTGGGTGATATAATTTCAGCACATAGAATTTGGTTGGGATTGCCTTTCTCCTTTATCTGATCTAGAATCACAGCATCCTGTATTGACAGTTGATATGTGATTTATAGCAGTTGTTTTCTGGCATGGCTATAGTTAATGGGCCGTTAATCATTTCTAAGGGATATAAAGAATACTGTTGCATGCACGTATTATGAAAAATGTGTCTTGTTTATAGAGATTGAAAATACCAAATGCCTTACATCTACAAATTCTATAATCTGTACTTCTAGCTGTTACCCATCATCTCTCTGAATGGCACTATACTGCATAGTGGTGGGCATGTGAACAAGCTTAGGAGGTGGAGGTAGGAATGGTCCCATGCCCAGGGTTCCAATATGTTTTGACTTGTGCATTTCATATCACTTAATCCCGATTGTGATTGTAGAATAAAGGTATGATTCTAACACTTTCAGGATTAGTTTCTAGTTGTTTGGGCAAACAGTTGTCTAGGTAAACTGAAAGGCAGTAGTCCAGGTAAAAAACTGGAAGGCATCCGGGTAAATGACCTATCCTCTTGTGAGAATTCTGAATGTGGAAATTTCTGGCAATTTTAATTAGTCTGGTGCCTCCTCCAGTTACTATGGGGGTGTGGTGTGCAGCTCCAGGACTGCTATCATTTTGTTTTTACTTGTATTAAATCCTTCAACAACCACAGGTCTTTGTAAGCTCCAACTTTTTTCTAGCAGGTTTCTTCTAAGGGAGCCATGGGTCTTTTGCATTTCTTTCATAGTAGATCCGATCAGTTAATTAAAAACAACAATTCCATCACATAAAATTTAAAATTTCCTCTCAGGCATTCACCAGTTCAGGAATGTTCTGTATACAGGTACAGTTGTATATGCTGCATAGCATTATATAAAATACTTTCACATACATTGGCTCTTCTACATGTAAAACATTTATGCTTGAGTCAGGGACTAAGACCCAGTTGGTCTGCAGACTCGGGCCAGAGAGTGTTTTCCACTACACCAGGCAGCTCTTCAGCAGTCAGCCTCCAATAAGCAAAGTCAGAACATTGTGTGATCTGCTCTCCACTTACAATCTAAACAGTTCTAAAATTTGATTTTAAAAGGCCCTTAGAATGGCTCTTAACAACAAGATGAGTGATAACTAGTATTGGCAAGGATGTGGAGAAAAGGGAGCCCCTGTATACTGTTAGTGGAGATGTAAAGTGGTACAGCCATTTTGGAAAATAATATGAAGCTTCCTTAAAAAACTAAAAATAGAATTTCCATATCATCCAGCAATCCCACTTCTGGGTATATATCCAAAGGAATTGAAATCAGTATGTCCAAGAAATATCTGTACTCCCATGTTCATTTCAACATTATTCACAATAGCCAACCTATCCATCATTGTGAATGAATAGACAAAGCTATTACTTCCTTTGATGGAAGCAACGTATCCATCACTGTGGATAAATATATGAAGAAAATGTGGTATATATACACCATGTAGTAATACACAATCTTAAAAAATAAAGAAATTCTGTCTTTTGTGACAACATAGATGGAATTGGAGGATATTATGCTAAGTGAAATTAACTAGGCACAGAAAAATAAATACTGTGATCTATTTGTGGAGTCTAAAAAAGTCAATCTCGCAGAAACAGAGAGTAGAACAGTGGTTACCAGAGGCAATGGATGGCAGGGAGAAGGATGGAGAAAGGGAATATGTTAATCAAAGGGTACAAAGTTTCAGTTAGACTGGAGGAAAATGTTTTACTGACCTATTGCACTGCAGGTGACCACAGTTAATAATAATGTATTGCATATTTCAAAATTGTTAAAATAGATTTTTTATGTTCTCATCACAACAAAAGATAAATTAGTGAGGTGACTAATATGTTGATTAGCTTGATAGACTCTTTCTATAATGTATACATAGATCAAAACATCCCATTATACCCCATAAATATAGACGATTATTGTTTGTCAATTTAAAAAAATCCTTATCAAAAACATATAAAAGGCACGCTTTTATCTTGGGGATCTTCAAGACGTCATTTTCCAGTTAAGGATTGTTTATTCCGTTCATGCGCTGTTGATTTCTGTAAATTCTAATGGGAGTTAAAGCACATAAATCCTTGGCACTTAGTTGAAAGACTAGAAATCATGCAGCAGCAGTACTTTTGTGTATAGTCTACTTGTTCTCCACTCTATAAATGGTTTGTTTTTTGTGCCATCTGGCATCAAATAGGTGAGATTCTTGCTGGAGTTTCATGATGAGTCTTACTACTACAGAAGAACATACATAACTTGACATTTGGTGAAGAGATGGACTGAATTTTTGATCCTACTCACAAACTATGTTCAAAATAGTGTTTTAGTAAAAAGTCAAGGAAGTTGGATTGATGCATGCCAACGTCACCCTTGAAGTTGTGTATGTATATACACATATGCTTGATATTTAACTTGCTGTCTCTGTAATTTTGATACTGCATAGCTCCAAGAAGACAAGATCTGAGTCTGGGTTGACTGTCTTTGTGTCCCTGTTCCTATAGTAGTGCCTGTTACAAGGTAGGCATTCAGCAATTATTAGTGGAATAAATGAATGAATGTTTCCATTTTAAAAAATTATCATAGGGCCGGGGGTGGTGGCTCATTCTTGTAATCCCAGCACAAGGTAGGAGTGTAGCTTGAGGCTGGTAGTTCAAGACCAGCCTGGGAAACATAGTAAGACCTCGTTTCTACTGAATAAAAATAAAATAAATAAAATAAAAAAATTAGCTGGGCACAGTGTCACACAGCTGTAATCTTAACTTTACTCCACAGGCTGAGGTGGGAGGATCCCTTGAACCCAGGAGTTCAAGGTTGCAGTGAGCTATGATGGTGCCACTGTATTCCAGCCTAGGCTGCAGAGTGATACCGTCTCATCAAAAAAATTATCACAATTAAAAATTAAATGACTCTTTTGAATCTATTTCTCCTAATAAATCTTCAAGCACTTACGCATCTTTGAAAATAAATTAAAAAATAATCTCTGCCTTCCCTTCAGGAGCTGTACCATATATTATGATTGAAATCTTTTTTCTCACAGTATGTCCACATACTTCTAAAGGACAATATGTTATAGAAAGCCTCAAGTCAACCTAGTAACTATGCAGTATCAAAATTATTGAGAAAGCAAGTTAAATGCCCAGCATGTGTGTATATACACAAGTATTGGGTGAGGTTAACATCAATCCTGAGCTTTTTTGACTTTTTACTAAAACTTCACTTTGAACACAGTCTGTAATAGAATAAAAAAGTATGCATAGTAGACCAACTTACTGAAACACTAGAGTGAAAAGGTGTGAAAGCTGAACTTATATCTACTTTGGCAGGACTTGAACTTGGTAATGACCATCAAGCATTGCCTAGATTTGTTGACTTTTAGAGCTGAACCGTTACTCATATGCGCCTAGTTGTAATGATTTATAAATTAATTTTACATGTATTATTTCATTGGATTATAACCTCATCCTTTAAAGTATCATTCTCCTTTCAATGTAATGAAAACCAAGTTGAGAGATATGAATAATTAATAGTTATATGGTACTATTAATATGACAGGTTTTGTTCTTCACATTTATTATTTCATTTTCACAAAACCTTATAAGGTAGGTTTTATGATTCCATTTTACTGAAGAGAAAATTCATTTTATGTGAGGCACACAGAGATGTAATAACTTGCTAAGGTCAATGGAAAAGTTAGCGTTTGTGCTAAGTGACCTACCTAAAGAAATTATAAAACCAGAAACTTGATTTAGGTTTTTCTGACACTAAATATTATGTGCTTTCAGTATGCCACAGTGCCTCTAGGGTGTAGATCAGCGCTGTCCACAGATATTTAATGTGAGCCATGTATGTAATTTTAAATTTTCAAGCAGCCAAAATAAAAAAGTAAAGTGAAACAGGTAAAACTAATTTTAATAATTTATTTTATTTAAACCAATATATCCAAATATTATGCCAAGATATAATTAATACAAAATTATTAAAGAGATATTTTATATATTCTTTTCTCAGTAAGTCTTCAAAAGTCAGTGTGTATCATACAACACTTACAGGACATCTTAATTCAGATTAGATACATTTCCAATGCTCCAGCCAGCTTTAAGTCATCAGGCATAAAATCTTTGTGTATAGATAAGGATAATAAGGCCTAGATGAATTCCTGTAGTCCCAGAGTTAATCAGGTGCAGAAAAGTCAGGTTAGTGACCAGAATTGAAGAGAAAAATCACTTTCCAAGACTTGAGCCCTGGTGAAGTCTCAGCTGCCCTACTATGTGAGTGAGGTAAGGCTTTGAGGCACTCTGCCTGTAAGGTTTCTCTCAGCAACTGGTCACATAGAAACCTAACTAACCAGAACCCGTTGAACTGCATTCCACCTCCCAAACCATGAAGGCCAGAACAGCTGTTTAGGCATGTTAAATGGTATTTATTTATTTACTTTTGCAAAGTTGCATGAAACAAAGAAAAAGCCAAAAAAAGATCAAATGTCTGTGGGACATAGGAACCTGGAAATTCCCACTCCTCATATCTTCCCTCTGTTTAAACACAGATGGACTATGGAAAGCATTTTATCAGAATGTGATTCAGTTTGGCAAGAAGGTTGAGCTCTTATGGACTTCGGAAAGTGTGTTGTGTTAGAAATGTTCCCCAACTTCATTACAAATATTCTGGGCTTTTATAGGTTTATTACACTGTACTGTTGACTGCTGGAAACCCAGAATGGTTTCTGTATTTTACCCTAAACTCATTCAGACTTTTCAAGTTGTCAGAGCCGTAACTGATCTAAAAATGCACGTAATAAGTAGAAGTCTAAACTAGACATTTCTTTTCTCTAATACTGTTACTATATTACTAGAGTCCAAAGGATTAAAAATTTAGAGCTAATGAGGACCTTAAAAAGTCACCTAACAATGGTTTTTGAACTTTTTTCTTAGGGTAATGGTACAAATTTTCAGATGTGATCATACTTGGAACTCACGTATAAAACAGATAATGAAAGAGCTGCTGTGAGTTAAGCAGGGTTGGAGCTGGGGACTGGAGCCACAGCCTGAAGGTCTCTTACTGCTTGATTCTGGCAGCTATCCAGGCAGCTCTGTGGAACCTGGGTGTCTGATTAACACAGATGAAAACCGCTGACTTAGATTTAGTCCAACCCCCTTCCTTCATTTTTTTCTCCTTGCCAGGCTGACGATAGCCAGAGACTTTACAATTCTAAAGTATTTGAGCTTATGAAAAATTGTCCAAGCATGAGTACTATGGTGATAGAAGAGTTAGTGGAGAAAACGCAATGAGAAAGAACCAAAGTAGGTCAGAATTATAGCTGAGGATGGGCGTAGAACAAGTTCAAGCTTGGCTGGCTAGGAGATTGATGGACACACACACACATACACACGCACACACAGACACACATACAATCAGACAAGGCATTCAGTTTGACAGGAAGATGAGTTAAATTTTAGCAAATGAATATGAGGTGACAGCCATGCAATCACATGGCATCATTTATTAGCACTAGTTTGTCTTAAAACTTGAACACAGAGAGTCAGGGCCAGCCAAATGGAAATTGTCTGCTCATAGGAGAAGCCCCGGGGCCATACTCTGAAAGAGGTAGCTTGGCGACAGACAAATTTTCTAAGAGAGACAGTATGGGGAGAAGAAAAGGCAAAGGTCCAAGACTCAAAAAATGAATGAATGTTAAAACATCAGAAGAGCAAGATAAACGAGTTAAGAAGATGGCACAGGAGCCGCAGAGAGGTAGGAGGAAAACAATCCTCAGCCCGTCCCTGTTGGCTCCCTTGACAAAATGACCACCTTCTTTTCCTAAAGCCATTGCAACAGCCTCCAAGTTGGTCTCTCTCTGGTACCTTTTCCAACGTGGAGTTTATTCTCCTAAGAGCAAAAGTGATTTGCTTAGAACATTAAATTAGAGTGTATTTCTTTTCTGCCAGAAACCCTCAGTCCCTGCCATGACCTACATGATCTGGTAACCTTCTGGTCTCATTTACACTTGATATCTTCCTCACTTTTTGCTGTTCTTTGAACATACTAAGCATGCTTTCATCTCAGGACCTGCTGTTCTGTGTGTGGAAACTTCCTTCAGCCGGCCACATGGCTCAATCCTTCACTTCCTTCAGCTCTCTCCCGATATATCGCCTTCTCAGAGATACCCTCCCTGCCTAACCTCTGTGAAACAGCATCCCTCCCCACCCATTCCTTTCTATTTTTCTTATTGTGCTTTATTTTTCTTTGTATTTCTATCACCAACTGATGTGTGTGTGTGTGTATAAAATGTTTTTGGCTGGGTATGATGGTGCACGCCTGTAGTCCCAGCTACTCAGGAGGCTGAGGTGGGAGGATCCCTTAAGCCCAGGAGGCAGAGGTTGCAGTGAGCCAAGATCACACCATTGCACTCTGGCCTGAGCTATAGAGCAAGACCTTGTTAAAAGAAAAAGAAAAAGAAAAAGAAAGGTGGTTTATGCACTCCCAATGCCTAGAATAGTGTCTGACATTGAATAGGTGCTCAGTAAATACTCATTACATGAACAAATGGGTAAGACAATGCAATACTACAGAAGACAAAAGAAGCAGGTAGTTCTAAGAAGATAATCAACAGAGTCAAGTCCATGAGGAGGCCACAAAATAAATGAATTAGGGAAAGGCCTTTTCAATGGTCCTCTCACCTGTGCTTCTTGTAACAGAGAAAGTCAGGTAGTGCTTCATCTTTATTCAGTTAACTGTTTGCTTCTCGGTACTTCAATAAGTGTGTTTATATATATATCTTTTATGGCATGCAATGTATCATACCTTGTAGTATTTGTAAAGGTCTTTCTCTTCCTTCTATGTTATAAGTACCTTGAAAATAGGTACTATGGCTTTTCTATCCTTGTATCTCCAGCAGCTGATATATTAACACAGCTAAATGAATGAATAACGAGATGAATGAATTAAAAGGAAGGAGAAGAAGGAACAAGTAGTCAATGTATAAACAGTTGGTGTAGACTGGTTGAAGGAAAGAAAATTGGAAAATTGCTTAATTGGATGGTAGGATCAGGCAAAGATTTCCTTCCCTCTCCCCAAGCTTATGCATATGGGAAGGAGAAAAATCCACAAGCTCTGGAGACAGCTTTGTTTCAAACTTTACCACTTGCTAGCTGTGTGATGTTGGGGAGATCATATCCTTTTTGTGCCTGAGTTTTCCATGGGTAATATTGAGCTAAAGTAGTGTAACTGAGTACCCCTATTTTTCTAAGAAAAAACAGAATGAGTTATTATTTTAATTATTTTTCTCCTTTCCCCATTTTCCCCTGCTCCCCACTTCCCACTTAGCTCTTTAGAAATGCAGTTATAACATTTTACCTCCCCTTCACCAGACGCTCCTTACAGGGCAACTGCATCTATATGCTTAGAAGCTCCAGCACAGAACTCTCACCTACCATAAAGTTGCTTCAAGAGATAACAGTTAATTTACAATCCAAAGTATGCCCACTATGAAACTCTCTCCCACCTGGAGAGTTCTGGACACTTTTACAACCTAGTTCTGCCCATGAAGATGCCAACTCACTGCCCGGTAGATAAAGCACTGAAGAGAGTTAAGTGGACTCCCATATGCTTGCTTCATCTCCTGCATGCCATTCATGCCACATCCCCTTTTAAAAGCACTCACTTTCTGCTCCAAAAGCAAAGCAGTACATTAAGGCAGGAAGCCTGTACTTCTTCCTTTAAACTAGCTTTGGAATTAAAAAGTCACTTTTTTAATACCAGACCTTGCTCTTGTTAATTGGACTCCGCAAGTGGCGAGGGAGTGAACCTGCATTTCAGTTACAGTAGTACTTAACTTGTGGTTTATGGTGAGGATTGAAGAGGACAATTAGGTTTGTAAAACATTTAGCACAATACTTGCACATTAAATGCTCAGTGAATGTTTGACACCATTATTATTACTAAATCAGAAAAGTGTGTATGTGTGTGTGAGCGTGTGTGTGTTTTGAAGTGGTAGAGTCAGAGGGAGCTAGATGGGCTGCTATAACAGAATACCACAGATGGGGTGGCTAAACAACAGAAATTTATTTCTCACAGTTCTGTAGCCTGGGAAGTCCAAGACCAAGATGCTGGCAGATTCAACGTGTGGTGAGGGCCCTCTCCCTGGTTGTAGAGGTGGTCTTCTCATTGTGTCCTCACATGGTAGAGAGGAGAGAGAGAGAGAGAGAGAGAGAGAGAGAGAGAGAGGGAGAGAGAGATCCCTTGTTCCTCTTTTTATAAGGGCACTAATCCCATTCATGAGGGTTAGGCACTCCTTAATCATCTCTCAAAGTCTCCACCTGCTAATAAAATCACATTAAGAGTTAGAATTTCAACATACGAATTTTGGAGGACGCAAACATGGTTCAGACAGCGGAGGCAATAGCCTGCTGGGAAGGGTAGGACAACAGGAGTGTTGAACCAAGTGTAGAGATGTAGAGCAGGAAAGTGCAGGCAGCCCTTCTGTCTTTTCAAGTGAACAGGAATATGAAGTTCTCTTTACCCTTGCACTTTTTTCCCTCCCCAGTCCAACTCTATTTTCCTTCCAAGAGCCCCTTTGTTGGTGAGTTAATTTCAGTGAAACCATATCTTGTTCAACAAATACCTATTCAAATGAATTAATTTACTGGGGATGGGAGTTCAGACAATAAAGAGTGGGGGGGAAGTTTTAGTCTCAGAGAGGATGTGCCAGATAAATAAAGAAGGATTATGTATAGCTGAAAAACTTCAATTAAAGCGGCATGAATTTCAACTGGAAAAATGTATTTTTTTCTTGCTTTAACCACAAAAGCATAAGCAAAAATTCATTTTATCTATAAAATTTTTTATTGTAGTAAGAGATCTTTAAAATGACCAGATTCCTTCAATAGAATAATTTCCTCTCTTCCTCCGTCTCCCCTTCCTTCCTTTAATTTTTGAGTCATGTCATGCAAGTATACTGAAGCCCAAAGAGGGAGGGGGATCTTTTCTTTGTAGTGGGAGTTCTGTCATTTACAAAAAAAAAAAAAAACAAAAAAAAAACTATAAAGATTGTATTAATTTACATTACCACCAACAGTGTAAAAAGCAGTGGCTCATGCCTGTAATCCCAGCACTTTAGGAGGCTGAGGTGGGCAGATCACGAGGTCAGGAGTTCAAGACCAGCCTGGCCAAAATAGTGAAACCCTGTCTCTACTAAAGACACACACACACACACACACACACAAATCAGACAGGCGTGGTGGTGCATGCCTATAATCCCAGCTACTCAGGAGGCTGAAGCAGGAGAATTGCTTGAACCTGGGAGGCAGAGGTTGCAGTGAGCCGAGATCATGCCATTGCACTCCAACCTGGGTGACAGGGCGAGACTCTGTCTCAAAAAAAAAAAAAAAATCATTTCTTTTTCTCCTCATCATCACCAACATTTGTTATTTTTTGACTTTTTAATAATGGCCATCCTGACTGGTGTATGATGGTATCTCATTGTATATCTCATTGTGGTTTTAATTTGCATTTCTTTGGTGATTAGTGATGCTGGGAATTTTTTCATACCCTTGATGGCCATTTGTATGTTCTTTTGGAAAATGTCTACTCGTGTCCTTTGCCCACTTTTTAATGAGGTTGTTTTTTGTTGTTGTTGTTGCTATTGAGTTGAGTTCCTTGTACAGTCTCCAGGGAAAACAGTATGGAGATTTCTCAAATAACTAAAAACAGAACTACCATTCAATCCAGCAATCCCACTACGGGGTATCTACCCAAAGGAAAATAAATTATATAAAAAAGACATCTGCACTCATATATCGATGGCAGCACTATCCACAATAGCAAGTCATGGAATCAACCTAAGTGTCCATTAAAATATGATTGGATAAAGAAAATGTGTTGTGTGTGCGTGCATGTAATATGTGTGTGTATATATAAATATATATATAAAATATATATAAATATATATAAAATATATAAATATAAAATATATAATATATATATAAATATATATATACACATATACACACACACATATATACACACACACACCTTATTCCAACATGGAGGATATCTTGTATTTATATATATAAATATATATAATATATATTTTTATATATTTAAATATATTTATATATGTAAATATATATAATATATATTTTTATATATTTAAATATATTTATATATATTTATAACTATATATTTATATATAGTTATATATATTTATATATATTTATATATATATATATAAATACAAGATATCCTCCATGTTGGAATAAGGTGTGTGTGTGTGTGTGTGTGTGTGTGTGTGTGTATAATGGAATTCTACTCAGCCATAGGAAAGAAAGAAATGTCTTTTGTAACAGCATGGGTGGAACTGGAGGCCATTATCTTAAGTGAAATGACTCAGAAACAGAAAGCCAAATACCTCATGTTCTCACTTATAAGTGGGAGCTACACATGAACATACAGAGCGGAATCAAAGCCACTGGAGACTCCAGAAGTTGGGAGGATGAGAGGGAGTTGAGGGATGAGAAATTATCTGTTGGGTACAATTTACATCATTCAGGTATTGGTAACACTAAAAGCCTGGGGTTCACCACCATACAAAGTATCAATTTAACAAAACTGCACTTGTGCGCCTTAAATTTATACAAATAAAACAACTGCTATAGCAACCACTTTATGCCAGCATTATCTGGAAAAAACAAAAATATAAACAAACTGGAGATGTCCATCTTTGTACAAAAGCTTGAGTGCTCTTTCCTTGCTTTCATTTTATATTTTTATGGTAATGCTTCTAATCTGAATTTTATTTTAATTCTACTTAATTTTTGTCAGGCTGCCGAAATAGATTATATTTTTTCCTATGATATCTTTTGTTTTGTCATCTAAACCATTTGGGCTTTTTCTGTGGACAGAGTTCTTAAGTCAGACTACAAATGTTTATTGAATGTGTATTGTATTAAATGCTTTATCTTGGGTGTTCAAGAATAATGCAAAGCAGGAAGGACAAGTTTTCTATTTTTAAGAATATTGCTATTAGGCTGGCATGTTTAATTTAATGAACTATAAAGCAAAACTTTAAACTTCTTTTAGGTAGGACCAACTTTTGCTCACATGGTATAATTTTCTATGTATTTTTGGTGCATTGTCCATCCACATCCCTTCTCCCCACTTCTGGTAATTTTATCCTTCATTCTTCTCTCTAAACCCAATATCAGGTGTTTAATCCCACTTTGGAGTTCCATTTGGAGGTTTTTATTTTTAGTTTAATGTGTAGACCCCAAAGTCATATTAGCATTCAGTATCAAGAGCCAGAAGACCTCTAGGCCTGCAAGACCCAGAAGAGGCACCATTAATCAGGTATCACAAAAGTACTGGAGAGTGTATAGAACTTAGGCATTTGTGTTTAGGATGTTTCCTGATGGCTTTCCTTAAGTCATGTCATCTATCAGGAAACTGTTTCTGTAGCTTTTCAAGGCTGGCCCCACTTCTGGGTATTCTGTTTGCCTAAGCCTTCCTTCACCTTGCTCATCTTCCTTCAAAGGGGAATTCTAGTTTTAAGTGCTCAGCAGTGAATGTGTTTGGGGTACACAATTTCTACTTATTTATATTTTTCTTTAAGAAAATGAGTCCCCAAATAACTTGCGAGTGATTCTGCTGGTGCCCTACAGCCTGTTTGCAGCATAGCCAGAACTAGGATTCATATGGTTTTGACTCCTTGTTTAGTGCTCTTTTAATTATGTCACAGACTTTCATAGCCATAAACTTCTGTCACTTTGCAACACCACCGAGGAAAGAAACACTTCTTTGTGTGGTTTGGTACTTATTATTGTAATAATGTTTAATTAATAATATTTCTTGATAGCTATCATTAGTATGGACCACTAATAAAAAATGTAGAGATCACTGGACAAATAATGTTTTAATTTTAATTATGAAAACAATAAGAATAATCTTGAAAATGAATATTGAAGACCATATAATACTTCTTTCACTTAATATGCTGAGTCTTTTTTTGATCCCTCTTATGAACTGCTTATTATAAAAGTGCACAGTGACTCTGAACTTTTTCTCTAACAGGAGATTTGTTACTTTCTCTCCTGGGTTAGAAACTTTTCTTTCCACACCTAGAATTCAGAGTGTCTTTTATAAACCCAGACCTCTAGCATTTCTGGTACAGTAGTATATAGTCACCTCAGTTATCCTCCATGTTGGAAAACTTGCTTCTTTAGAAGATCAGGACAATAGACACATTAGATATATTTTTATGTATATATTTGCAACGGATGAATTATAATGTAAGAATTAATATACAGAAGTCAATTTCTAGGCTGAAACCACAGGTTCAAAGGATATGAATATATTTTTGGTACTTGGTAGAAATTATCTATTTTGCTTATTATAGTATTATAATAAGCTTATTATAGTGTTATCAATAATGACAAGATGTTAAATACCATTGGCATGTCCAGCATTATTAAAGGTATTGTTTTGGAATAAGTAATGGTAAATATAAGGGGTAGAATATTACTTGATTGTTAAAATATCCGTGAAACACTTACATGTTAAACAGACAAACAAAACTAGAAGACAAAATGGTATGCATGTTCCAATCCAGTTTCATTAAATTTATGCAGGTGGAAGATGGCTTGGAAGAGTGAAAACAGTTTTGCTGAGGACAGGTAAGGTATGGGTCATTCTGATATTATCTAATGTTATCTATATATCATTACCATATATACCATATCATTATCTAATGTCATCTATATATCATTACCATATATACTAATTATCTAATGTTATGATTTTTTTAGTTAAAAAGCAATACATTAGATAGTGTAATAACCATTTAATTTGGTTTATAAGTTACAGAAAAAAATTTTTTGTTACTTTGAAGTCACCATTTATTTTATCAAATGATGTAATTTTACCTCTCCAAGTAATTTAAACTCCCCAGTCCTTAGAATCTAGGTATAAATGAAGCTCAGAGCTCTCTTTCAATTGGATAATTAGCTCACGAGTGGTTGCTCTATTTCTCACTCACCTCATTCACATACAGGGCTCAGCTCTGAATTGCTTCTGGCTCATTCCAAAAGCCAAGTGCTCAAACATGAAGACTTCTTTTTATTGGAAGTATTTGAAAGGGCATGCCATATTCCAAATATGAATTCCAAATATGCTTTAAATAATGGCAGCATCAATAAAGTCCACTTTTCTCTAAGACTATTTTTTAAGAGGCCAAAACATTTGAATGAAGCAGTTGATTTCTAAAAAGTGACTTTTAATGTTTCTTGTACCTTCAATCATACCTAGACACTGAATGGATTTCAGAAAGTCATAGGGCCTGGGTGGAAGCCCCAACACAACAGCAGAGTGGAATCATGGATTGGCTATTCTATAATCCATTCGCCGTGACTGAGGGTGAGAAGTGGAATTCTATTTGAGGCTATATTTGAGAGCCATCTTTGAAAATGAAGAAGTAGTTTGGGCTCTGGGTATCTTTTCTTTCCTTTTTTTCCCCTTTTTTTCTGATACAGCCTTCAGCTGAATGAAATGTGGGCTTTGAGATCACCTGTGATAGCATTCTCTAAGACTGCAATATGTTGAAAACTGTCTTGTGATTACTTCATAATGGATATTTTCCAATGGATAACACTTAGAGTAAATCTGAGTTGCCAACAGCTTTCAGAAAGGCAGAGGTAACACTGTATGTAAAACGGAAGCTCCAAACCTGCGGTGTTATTAAAAAGCAATAATATTGCTTTAATATTATACCTCTGTCAGCATATAGACTTGTTTATTCAATGCTACTCTATTAATCTGTTCTTCAGGATGTTTTAGGAACTAAATTTAATGCACAAATATTTATTGAAACCTCTTTTAGCTGACTGTGTTAGTACTTGCAATGATAAAAAGACACAATTTGATTTTAACAAATTTATGATATAGGCAACAGATATGGGGGTGAATGGGAAGGGAGGGGACAGTAGGGCTAGTGGTGAAAAAGGGTTGAATGAAAACAGGTAAAAACAATGCACTGTGAACTCTGGAGGATGGATATCATTAACTCCTTTTTGAAAAGGTTTCATGAAGAAAACAACATTTGTAAATGTTCCATGAGCATGAAAGCATGGCAAGACATTTGATTTTGCCAATGCAGGCAGTCTGTTGTTGCTGGAGTATAGTATGAGTAAGAGAACGAGAGAGGGCAAAGGAGAAGATCATCCTATGGTTCATCATTCAAAATGATGAATCATTTCTGAACTAAATGTTATACAGATCATTAAATATGTCCATACAATGCAAGCTTTTATAAATAGTATATATAATCATTTAACTCAACTAACTAGCCTATATCTTAATATTTATTAAAATCATGTTTTATAAATATAATTTAATGTCCAAGAAAATGATACATATCACAAAGAATCTCAGGCCTGTCCCATGCAACATCTGAAAGGTTGGGAGAGCTGTACTGATGACAGTGTGGGCACAGCCAGGCTCACTGGGGGATGTCATGATCCACTGTGGATCCTGGGCTACATTAACTTTATATCACAAATTAGTCTATAAGAATTGGGTGAGCAAATTCTACATGCCAGGAGTTATGCTGGAAGCAGAAATACAATGAATTAGAGACTCAGTGTGTGCACTCACAGAGCTTAGAATCCTGAGACAGGGGTGAGGGTGTTTAGAGATAAAGATAAGTAACAGAAATTCCAGTACAGCGTGATATGTACCTGTTAAGAGAGGTGAAGAATGCTATGTGAGCATACAGTGGGGTATGTGACTCAGACAGGTCAGGGAAGTTGTCCTAAAAAAGTGTGGTTCAAGCCTAAAGAGACAGGAATAAGCTAGGTGAACTGGAAAAACTACCCCAGGCAGAGAAAGAACCATGCAGACACAGAGTGGGGGAGAAGTGAGGAGAATAACAGACAGTGAGAGGAGGAAGGAGAAGGAAGAAGTAGAAGGTAAAAGGAAGAAGAGAGGAAGAGAGAGAACTCACCTGGTGCTTTCTAGAAAGAGAAAAAAGTTTAATGCAAGGTAGGTTAGGGATCACAGACATAGATGAGACTGGAGAAATAAGGGGAGGGAATATGGGCAGATCACACAGTGCTTTCTTAAGGTTAAAAAATTCATAAAAACAGGAAATCCCTTAAACAGTTTTGAGATGGGATCAGATTTGTTTTATGAAGTTTACCACAGTTGTGTTTAGAAAAGATTGCAGAGGGGTAAGATGGGAGGTGATATTGTTTGGCTCTGTGTCCCCAGTCAAATCTCATGTTGAATTGTAATCCCCAGTTGGGGGAGGGACTTGGTGGGAGGTGATTGGATCATAGGGGCGGATTTCCCTCTTGCTGTTCTCATGATAGTGAGTTCTCATGAGATCTGGTCATTTAAAAGTGTGTAGCGCTTCCTCATTTACTATTTTTCTCTCTCCTGCTCCACCATGGTAAGCCGTGCTTGCTTCCCATTCATTTTCTGCCTTGACTGTAAGTTTCCTGAGGCCTCCCATCCATGCTTCTGGTACAGCCTACAGAACTGTCAATTAAACCTCTTTTCTTCATGAATTACCTAGTCTGAGGTAGTTCTTTACAGCAGTGTGAGAACAGACTAATACAGGAGGCTGGAAGACCAGCTGGGGGGTGCTGCGGATGTCATCCACGTCCTCATGATGGTCTACATGGGTAGGAGCCACAGGGATGGAGAGAAGTGGGCGAATCGTAGGGATAATTTGGAGGTGGATTCCACAGGACTTAAAAGATACATCAGACGGGGAGTGTGATGTGTGCCACCCATCCTCTCAAGTGTCTGTCTTGGTCACTGGGAAGATGGTATCTATGACCTGAGTCTCACTGGTGATGCCAGAAAAGACCAAGCCTATGAAACCAAAAGGTTGTTTATTCCTGAATAGAGCCAGGTCAACATCAATTAGCAGGTGGGCTGTTTGCTGTGAGTGAGAGTGGCAGGGCCATGGTTTGTTTTCATTCTTCCTTCTTGAGACAATCCCTAATCACACTTGTTCAGTACAGAAAATGAGCTGCCCCTCCCTGCTTCACCGAATTGAAATCCAAAATGTACCAAATGACTAGACTACTGTCACTGAGGAGTTCGAAGAAAAAATCAGCTCCTCACTGCTGCCAACTGAAAATGGATAATTACAATATTTTTAACACATTATACCTTATTATTTTTGAAATTAGGAAAATCCTTATGAAGCCACAAAATTCTATCAATAGGAAACCTCTTAGAAATTACTGACAAAAAATTTTACAGATGAAAAAGTTGTGGAGGTTAAATTATTGGCTCAAGATCATTTGCCTGATAGTTGATAAATATTTTTATTTCTAAAGAGTACTGGTTATTTCTCAAAAACTGTTGAGTAAACAAGTTAAAGTTAAGCACATGCCATCTCAGGGGCTATAAAACTGTTTCATGTTGGTATTGAAATGCCCTGGTAATTTTTGTGGCAGAATGAAAGGGTTGTTGTGACAAATAATCTGAAATAGAAAATGGTATAGTTTCTGCTCTTGGTGCTCATGCCTGCTTCTAAATTCTTTTGTTAAGTGATTTACGCACATTTAAACAGAGCATAATTATCTTGATTAATATTGAGAAATACAGTATTTATAATCCCTGTGTTTAACAAAGTGCTACATGATTAGCCCTTTAAAAATAATTAACCCTCTTGTATATAAAATTTCATAATTTCATTTCATATTATGAAGTGCCAACTAATATTTTCAAAATTTTAATCACCCACATAAAATGGATCCAGTGGAAATATGTGAGAAGAGTACTTTAGCTCTGATACTTATAAATCAATGAGAAATTAAACGACATTATCTTTTTTTTGCAGCAATCATATATTTTTCTGGTCTTCTGCATTTTGCATTTAGATGTTAGATGTATATTAGTCAGTTATAGAAAGTATTTAGAAAAATGAAGTTACTGAAAATTAGAAAAAAAATAAACATGCTATTCTGCAAATTTATTTATTGATTTGGCCCCATTTTCACCTATGAGTGAAAATCATGTCTGGGATTAGTAAATCAAGATAAGGGCTTCCTCTCTACTCCCCACCATAGGAAACAAACATTAAACACATTATATGTAGTTTATAATTTCATGACTTCTAATGAGATGAGATTTGTAAGTATTTTTCTTGGTGGAATATGGACCAGATCTGCTATTTTCCTGAACAGGAAAAACCAAATTCCTTGCCTCTCCTTAAATGACCTGGGCAGTTGCTGCTAACCTTCTGTTATGCTACCTAGGAAGGAACCCATGGTTAACGTATTAAGAATCATTAAAAAATAATCAATTATTTTCTTTCCTTTTTTTCCCCTTCGAAAGCATGAGGTACAAACCAGAAGATTTAAAAAAATTTTAGGGTAGTCGAATTTTCTTTTCTTCACAGGTGTCTTTGAGCTTTATCAGTTTGTAAGCTAGAATTGTGTGTGTTGGGAAGGACTATAATAAGAAAAAACAAAGACTGAGTATCATCTTCAAGGGCCTGTTAGGACTTGGGAAAATGTCAAAATTAAAATTAAAGTTTGATATAGGATTTGTTCATATAACTTTTAAGATATCCTCTTTAAAAATTCAAAATTGATGCTTGTAAAGTTTCTTCCCCCTTCTCTTTAGGAAATATCTCTAAATACTCCTAAAAATAATAACATACAGCAAGCCAACCCTTCCACATACACTACCTTAGATAT